>NC_000020.11:2490577-2642092 GCF_000001405.40 Homo sapiens
CCCAGGCTGGAGTGCAATGGCATGATCTCAGCTCACTGCAACCTCCACCTCCTGGGTTCAAGTGAATCTCCTGCCTCAGCCTCCTGAGTAGCTGGGATTACAGGTGCCCGCCACCACACTTGGCTATGAACCAGGTCAGTTTTAACATTTTCCTCTGAATCAGTTATATGTATTAACAGTGGAAGAGAAAACAGTATGACCAGAGAAAAATAAAAACAAAACCTAGTTGGACTAACCAGCTAAGGCCAAATCAAAACACACAAAACCATTTACAAAAATTATAAATCATTTTTTTAAAAGGAAAAACACACACAGAACGAGTCCGAAATGGATGAATCTACAGTGATTTAGATGGAGCCAGGTCAGATGGGCGCTAGTTCAAACCAGAGCGAATCAGATCAAAACACATCAAAGAAGATGAAAATGGAATAAAGTAAATCTGATTAAATCATATCAGGGAAACAGCCACGCCATTTGGAGCAAACTCCCAAAGAAACTCCTCCCTGAAACTGGTTTGTGTCTCCAAAAATGTGATTCTTCTCTACATGTTTTATCTAGAAACATAGGAATATCTAGAACAGTACTATCCAGTATAGCAGCCACTGGCCATGTGCTCATTGAGCACTTGAAACATGGCTAATCTGAACTAAGATGTGCTCTAAGTGTAAAATACAACCAGGTTTCAAAGACAGTACAAAAAAATAAGTAAAATACCTAATTAATAAGTTTTATGTTAATTTCATGTTAAAATGATATTTTAATATATTGGATTAAATAATATATATAGTCTTAAAGTTGATTTCACCTGTAGTTATACTTGTAAAAATGTGGTTACTAGGAAATTTAAACTTACCTATGTGGCTCACATTATATTTCTACTAGACAGCACTGATCTAGAACAAGGAGTGGAAAATGACTACCCACAAGCTAAATCCAGTCCTCTGTTTTTGTATCACCTACAAGCTAAGAATGGTTTTTACATTTTTAAATGGCTAGAAAAAAGTAAAAAGAGTAGTAATATTTCATGATACATAAACATTATATTAAATTCAAATTTCAGTGTCTATAAAGAAAGTTTTATTGGAACATATCAATGCTCATCCGTTCACATACTGTTTATGGCTGCAACTCAATGGCAAGTTAAGGGTTGTTACAGAGGGCTTATCACCTGTAAAAACAGTTATTGTTTGGCCCTTTACAGAAAAAGTTGGCCAACCCCTGATCTAGAGTTATGTTGCAATTGATAACATTTATCAACCCAGATTTAAATATTTTTTTATTTTTTTTTATTTTTTCAGACTGAGTTTCACTCTGTCACCAGGCTGGAGTGCAACGGCACAATCTCGGCTCACTGCAACCTCTGACTCCCTGGTTCAAGTGATTCTCCTGCCTCAGGCTCCCAAGTAGCTGAGATTACAGGCACATGCCACCATGCTCAGCTAATTTTTGTATTTTTAGTAGAGATGGGATTTCACTATGTTGGCCAGGATGGTCTCGATCTCCTGACCTCGTTTAGGTTTGTAAACAAATGAAAAAGAAAAAAACATAGTTTATGAAACCCCCAAACCACAATAAACTTGACTCTTAATTTTAACTTATGTCACAGAGCTGCATCTCTCCCCCTTGCAAACCATGCCCCCAGCCTTGCTTGCCTCCTTGCAGCTTCATATACTGGGCAGGTACATCCCTTCATTAAGGTCTTCGTGTCAATAATTCCCTTCACCTGAAATGCTCTTACACTAGATACCTACAGTTCTAACCTCCTCACCACATTATGTCTTTAGACAAATATTACTTCTTCACTGATTTCAAATACCCAGTTTTAAACTTCAGCCAGCCACCCTATCACACCCAATACCCCTTTATCCTGCCTTATTTCATTATTTTTTACTATGTTGCACTTATCACCTTTTAACATACCATATTATAATATCCCTGTATATGAGGCTTTTTGTTTGTTGTCTGTCTCCTTACACTAGAAAGTAAGCCCCATGGAGGCAGGGATTACGATTTTGTTTACTAATGTGTTGTAAGTATCTAGAACATTTTTTTGTGGTACATATTAGGTGATCAGTAAATCTCTACTGAATTAATGAAGGAAAGGAAAGAACACAGCCTTACCCAATGAGAGAAGATTCCTGTAATTCTCCAGCATCACTTCTTTGTATAGATTCCTCTGCTCTGGACTCAGTCTCTTCCATTCTGCTTCTGTGAAGATCACAGTCACATCCCTGAATGTAACTGGTACCTACAAACAACCAGTAAATTAATGTATAGCAAGCCACCATCAATCTTCCCTGTGTGTGGAGCACAGCTGGTGACCCTGGAGAGCCTGGATATGCAAGTTGATGTAATTCGTCAGAATATATGGTTCTCCATATGAAGTTCTTCTGAGCACTACTGTCTGCCTGGCTTTCTGTTAAAACCTGTGAGGAGCATAACTGAGCACAGAACACATTCTAGGCCCTTGACATATATGATTTCACCGGAGAAATGATTTGTGAATTAATTTGTAAACCTCAGGCTGTGTTTAAGACAGTGACTTTGAGGATTCATAATGAAGGAATTCAGAGATGAAACAGCAGAGAATGGGCTGCAGAAGGAACAAAAGCATCATGGACTTGGGGCTTGTGCTGGGCAGTAGGGAGTGGTAAAGATTTAGAGGAGAGAATGGAAGAAAACTTGGATTACAGAGAAAAATGGGAGTGAACAGATGGGGTCTGGAATGAGCATTTTTTAAAAGCTCAGGTTACTAAATGGGATCTGTAAAATCCCTGTCTTTGCTATGTGCTTTGACAACTTTTTTCAAGAAAGCCTAATGCTTCACTCATCTACCCAGATGTTGACCGCCTTTTCCTTTCCCAAGAAAGAGAATATATGTCTATTCTCTGGAAAATGAGCCAGCACTTCAGGAAAAAAAAAAAATGTAACCCCAACTCACCACTATTTGGGCCTTTCCCTCCTTTTTCTGGGGGCAGTCAGTATCATTAGAAGGCAAGCCTAGGGAAAGAAAAAGAAGCTATGAGAAACCAGACCCCCCCACCCCCCACCCCCCACCATGACGCTCCCTGAGCAGCTCTTCTGAGCCTTAGGATGAAGGAAGTAGTCACTTAACTCAGAGGTGACCTCTGAAGCATTTTCAGGTGAACCTGGAGCCTTGGCTTCCTCTTCATCCCTCCGGCTCCCTCAACAATTCTCACCTTTCGCTTTATGATTTTGGGTCAATTTCTTCATAGTCTCTACATTTTCCCCATTCTTTGGAAGCAAAATCTCTTCCCAGTATTGATCTCCCAGTGCTGAAGGATAAGGCAACATCATGGCGCCAGAGTCAGCCCAGTGTGTGCCTTGAAATTCTGCCAGAGGTCCAGGTAGATGTTATTTCATCTCAAGATGGAGTTCTGCTGCCTGTGGTGACTTCTTCCAACCTTAATTATAAAAAGCCCAGCTTGTTTCCCTGCAGCCAGGACCTGTGGGATGAAGAAGCAATTTGCTATTGCTGGGGCTTTTATTGTGGGCCCTAGGCCTATGCCTCTTCAACAGGGATCCTGTCCTCTCACACCCTCCTCATTCAACAAACACGGAGTCTCCATCTACATGGGATCCCTGGATTTTCTACCTTCATTCACTCTACCTTCATTTCTAGGCCCTCCTGCTTGTGTTCTGCCACTCTCCCTTAGCTCTCAAACTTTACTTCTTCTGCCTCTGCACCTCAGATTCAAACTCTATGTTTTGGATCAGTCTCTGCTACTACCTGAAGCCTGAGTCAGAGAGAAGACAGAATATAGCATAATGCCTGTGGAGAAAGAGCCTCTGACTGTTTCCTGTAGACCAACTGGGGCGTGCAGAACTCAGCTTCTGATTCCCCTGCCCCAACCCAAGGTTCCATCTATATTCAGTTCCTTGTGTCTTGGATGGGCACAGTGGTTCACACCTGTAATCTCAGTACTTTGGGAGGCCACGGCAAGCTAATCACTTAAGCTCAGGAGCTCAAGACCAGTCTGGGCAACATAGCGAAATGCCGTCTCTACAAAAAATACAAAAATCAGCTGGGCATGGTGGTGTGCGCCTGTAGTCCCAGCTACTCAGCAGGCTGAGGTGGGAGGATCACCTGACCTCGGGAAGTCGAGGCTGCAGTGAGCTGAGATCATGCCATTGCACTCTAGCCTGGACGGCAGGAGTAAGACCCTGTCTCAAGAAAAAAAAAAAAAATCCCTATGTCCCTGTATTGTGAGGAGTTTAGGAGATCAAAACTCAGTCCTTCTTAGTTAAGGGAGAGCTCCAGTTCTCACAATTACTCTGAAGAGATAACCTCCTAGCTTCCATTGCTATGCATGTCTACCACATGACCTTACCACAGATGTGCATTTGTGTATCCTGATGGGCCCAAGTCAAAGTCCTACACTGATGTGGTCCCAAAGAAGGCAGGTGGTATTAGGAGCTATGCCACCTTCAAAAGCTCCTCAGACGCTGTCCAGGATTTCAGCCCAAATGGCTACAGGCCTATTGTTGCCTAGTACCCTTCTGAGACTAGCTGGGGTCTCTAAGCAGCTCTTGTAATTCATCCCTCAACACCATAGGTAGAGATGACCACTCCCTCTTCTGTCCAACCTGGCCATCATACCATATTGCAATTTCTCTATTTACGTGACTGTCTTTACTAAACTGTGAAGCTTCTTGTAAGATGAAATGCTTCTCAGTCTTTTTGCTAATATAATTCTAGTGATTAGAATAAAAGAGGCCTTTGTGGTAGATTTTATCATCGTTCCCAATTATTTGTTGCCCTATAAAAGGATGGTACTTCCCTGTCCCAGACATCAGGCTTGACCTTGTAACTTGCCTTGGAAAATGAATGTGAGTGAAAGCGACGATGCCATTTCTAAGCATTGCATAATTCCACCATTTCTTTTGTTCTGAGAACAGCATGTCCGAAGAGGGACTGTGGTTCTACTGTAAAAAGTCATGGTACAAAGCTAAAGCCAACCTATAGTACCTGCAGTATAACGTAGCTGAAGCTGACAAAGCCTTTCTCCTAGTAACACTAGTATCTGTAGCTAACAGTTATAAAGCAAGATCTGTACTAAGTGCAGACTTTTTTTTTTCTTTTTTCTTTTTTTTTTTTTTGAGACAGAGTCTCACCCTGTTGCCCAGGCTGGAGTGCAGTGGTGCAATCTTGGCTCACCGCAACCTCTGCCTCCCAGGTTCAAGTGATTCTTTTGCCTCAGCCTCCCAAGTACCTGGGATTACAGGCACCTGCCACCACATCCAGCTAATTGTTTGAATTTTTAGTAGAGATGGGGTTTCACCATGTTGGCCAGGCTGGTCTCGAACTCCTGACTTTGTGATCCGTCTGCCTCGGCCTCCCAACGCGCTGGGATTACAGGCGTGAGCCACCATGCCCGGCTACTAAATGCAGTATTCCAACATTTGGGACACTGCCACAAATGCAACAGAAAAAATACCAGCACTCGTGTAGCTGCCATTTTAGTGGGGTTTAGGGGCAAGGAGATGGACAAAAAAAATATATACCTCAGAAAAGACACAAGATATCAGACGGAGATAAGTACTGAGGGCACCAGAAGGATCCAGTGGCAGAGACTGAAGGAGTTGCAATTTTAAATCGAGTATTTAAGGAAAGCCTTTTAAAGGTGATTACTTGAGATTTGAACAATGTGAGGGAGTGATTCATGTGGGCAACTGTGTCAGTAGAACTATAAGGAAAGAAACCAGCCCATTGAAGGTCCTAGGGCAGGAGTGAGCCCTGCTATTTCAGAAATAACAAGTTCACTGTGGCAGGAGGGTGTAAGTGAAACACAGTGGTGGCAGTTAAGAGCAGTCAACGACAGCGGTACCAGGGCACAGGTCATGTGCAGCCTTGAGCATGCTGGTTTTGATGTGGAGGGAAATGAGAAGCCATTGGAGTATTTGGAGCAGAGGAATAACAAGCTTGGATTTACATTTTAAAAGATGTCTCTGGCTGGTAGACTAGGAACAGACAAAGGGGACAGAGAACAAGGAGAGAAGCAAGGAAATCCTGTAAAGGCTGTTGAAATAATTCAGGTGGGAGATAATGGTGGTTTGGACGAAAGTGGACACAGTGTAGGTGGTAAATAGCAATCACATCCTGAATTTCCTTATTGTATGTCAGTTGTGAGATGAAAAAAAAATCAAAGACAATTCTAGTATTTTTGCCTGGAGCAGTTGGAAGGATAAGACTTACCATCAGCCAGGCACGGTGACTCATGCCTTTAATCCCAGCACTGTGGGAGGCCGAGGTGGGCAGATCACCTGAGGTCGGGAGTTTGAGACCAGCCTGACCAACATGGAGAAACCCCATCTCTACTAAAAATACAAAATTAGCCGGGCATGGTGGCACATGCCTGTAATCCCAGCTACTCGGGAGGCTGAGGCAGGAGAATTGCTTGAACCCGGGAGACAGAGGTTGCGGTGAGCCGAGATCGCACCACTGCACTCCAGCCTGGGCAACAAAAGCAAAACTCTGTCTAAAAAAAAAAATTTTACCATCAACAGGTGTGAGGAAAGCTATAACTGGAGCAAATTTTGGGGGAGAAGAACAAAGTTTGATGTTTGAGACTAGGTTTGAGATGCTAAATACAGATCCAAGTGGAGATTACAAGTAGGCAATTAGTCATCCAATACTGGAGGGGAAGGAAGAGGTCTACACTAGAGTCATATAGATGGATTTAAAGTCCTCAGAGTGGAGGAGATCACCAAGGCAGAGGAGGAAGATGGAGGAATTGTCAAGGACTAAGCTCTGGAGGACTCCACAGTTAGGAGGCCAGGGAAAAAAAGAACCGTCAGGGAAGACAGAGAAGTAGCCTGTGAGGGAGGGAAGAAAAGGAGAGGTACATACAGTACTGGAGCCAAGTGACAAGGTGTGTCAAGGAGGAAGAAGAGATCGACCACAGGAATTGCTGCCAAGAAGACAGAGTAAAATAAAGACTGGAAATTCATTCCTGTGTTTAGCACAGTAGTGGCTGCTGGTGACCTTGGCAAGAACAGTTTCTGGAGGGTGAGCTACAAAAGGATTTAAAACAGAATGGAAAAATAGAACTGGAGGCAACAAGTATAGACCATTCTTTTGGGGAGTTTTGCAATAAAGGAAAGCAGAGAAATGGGGTAATAGCTGAAGGGAGAGATCACACTCAAAAGTAGCTCAAAACCTTCAAGTGGTTCCCTGATGGCCACAGAGTGAGTCCAACTCACTAACTTGGTATCCTGGCCTTTCTTAATAATGGCCCAACCTACTTCTCAATCTGAACCCCCCGTACCCACCCGCCCCGGCTCCTTCATATGGCTCCTCCATATGGCTCCTCCACGGCCAGGAAGCAGGGCTGCTCAAATGCTCACGAAGACTGATTTAGTCCTGCTAGTTGTTAGGCACTGTGTCAGTGACCCAAAATGAGCAAGAGGTCCCTGATCCTTAAAGAGCCACTTCATGGTCCAGTGAGGGAAAGTACTCATATATAAAGTGCTTCAGGCCAGGCGTGGTGGCTCATGCCTGGAATCCCAGCATTTTGGGAGGCTGAGGCGGGTGGATCACCTGAGGTCAGGAGGGCAAGACCAGCCTGACCAACACGGAGAAGCCCTGTCTCCTCTAAAAATACAAAATTAGCCGGGCGTGGTGGCGCATGCCTATAATCCCAGCTACTTGGGAGGCTGAGAAAGGAGAATCACTTGAACCCAGGAGACGGAGGTTGCGGTGAGCCGAGATAGTGCCATTGCACTCCAGCCTGCGCAAAAAGAGCAAAACTCCGTCTCCAAAAAAATAAAAAGTGCTTTGGTGCTGAAGAAGAGGCTGAGGGCAACTTTCCCTGAGAAAATCAAGGCATGCTTTGCAATGGAGTAAATGTGTGACTAAATCAATAGGAGTTCAATTGCCAAGTAGAAAACCACAGAGGAATAAAACAGCACAGAATGGAATCTATTCCCACACAGCTACAAGGGCACTACAACAAAGGGAGTAAGTGGTAGGGACAAGACTGAAAAGGTGAGCTGAGAGATAATTCAGATATTCATCAGATATCAATATTAACAATCCCAGTCCATATTTAGTAAGCATATATTATGTGCCAGGCACTACCTTATAGGAATTATCTGCCAGGCCGTATAGGAATTACCACATTTCTTCCTCACAACTCCCTGAGATGGGCACTATTATTTTCTCCATTATACAGATGAGGAGTAGAAAGCACAGAGAGTGAAATAATGTCTCCAGGGTTACACAGCTAATGTGCGGTGAAGACAGGCTTTGAATCTAGGCAATCTGTCTCCAGAGCCCACACCCAGGCTGAAGCGCAGTGGTGTGATCTCAGCTTACTGCAACCTCCACTTTCCAGGCTCAAGCCATCCTCCCATCTCAGCCTCCTGAGTAGCTGGGACCACAGGTGTGCAGCACCACGCCCAGATAATTTTTCTATTTTTAGTAGAGACGGGGTTTTGTCATGTTGTCCAGGCTGAGTTCAAGTGATCCATCACTTCAGCCTCCCAAAGTGCTGGGATTACAGGCGTGAGCCACCGCATGTGGCCTCACACTCTAATTATTGAGTTTGGACAGAGTTGGAGGTAGGTAATAAGAAATGGCCCTCTTCCGGGCGCGGTGGCTCACGCCTGTAATCCCAGCACTTTGGGAGGCCGAGGTGGGCGGATCACGAGGTCAGGAGATCGAGACCATCCCGGCTAAAACGGTGAAACCCCGTCTCTACTAAAAATACAAAAAATTAGCCGGGCGTAGTGGCGGGCACCTGTAGTCCCAGCTACTTGGGAGGCTGAGGCAGGAGAATGGCGTGAACCTGGGAGGCGGAGCTTGCAGTGAGCCGAGATCCCGCCACTGCACTCCAGCCTGGGCGACAGAGCGAGACTCCGTCTCAAAAAAAAAAAAAAAAAAAAAAAAAAAGAAAAAGAAATGGCCCTCTTGAGTAGGTGAGTGGCATGATCCTTATTTTTCCTTCAGAGGAGCAACTTAAAAGGCAGGGTGGAAGGTGAACTAGAATGTGGAGAAAAGATGAAAATTTGGGTAGCACAACAGTGAGATGAGGGGAAAATAATAAAGGGGTATTCCAAGGTAGAATTGAGAGGACTCCATCACTAATTAGAAGGATGAGAATTTCAGGAAGAACAAGGAGGCAAGAAAGACTCAGAGCTCCGGCTGGTGACCAGGGATGGAGACACGGTCATTAACAGAAATCATCAACAGGTAAAGAGAAAAGGGAGTGGGAGAATTGGCCTTGCTGAATTCCAGATACTTCTCCCTCTTATAGTTCTTACCTGAATTGTTAAGTGTGTACAGTTTGAACTAAGCAATAGCAATTTTGTAGAAGAAATGGGCAGATTTTAAAACAATCTAGAGTTAAGACATTAAGGAATTACTGTCGATTTTGTTGAATGTGGTAATATTATGGTTACATTTTTAACAAATAGTCCTTCTCTGTTGGAAATGCATAGGATAGTATTTATAGGTAAAATTATGTGATGTCTGGGATTTCCTTCCAAATACTCCAGCAGCAAAAACAAGAAAATGAGGAGGTGGGGGGCTCAATGAAACAGGGATTATAGAATGTTGATAACTGAGGAAGCTCTAAATCCTAATTCTACCCAACCCGGTCATATTACACAAGTAAATTTCTTAACCTCTTAACATGCCACTTCTTCTTCTATCAATTCAGAGTTTTGATTCCTAACTTTCAAATTGTTGAGAGTTTAAAATATTGTGGAGACTATAAACCCAGTTGCCTGGCACAGAACAATGGCCCAATAAATGCTAATTACCATCATTTTTTATTTCACAGTAGCTGACAAATCCCTGGGAATCCAGCAGCCAAGATGAAATATGGCTGGGGCAAGGACGGTGATAACCTGAATGAGAGTACCAGTCTGGGGTAATATTCCCTGTGGAGATCCTTGCCCTTAAAATCACCCCAGTATTGTAGAAAAACAAGCAAGGCCTTGAGCCTCAATTGGAACACTTCAGGGTACAAGATGTCAGACGGGCAAAGGAAATACAGCCATGGTTTCGAGCAGAAAAGACGCTATGGGAATGTGAAAGGTAAGTGGTACCTACCTGATAGGAAGTTCTCGGGAGCACAGAAGTCTTTCCTTTCTCAAGAGATCGTCCTCTCCCAGCAGGCAGGGATTGGAGAAGGTGGACCTGAGGATGAAACAGGCAGTGTGAGATTCAGGATTGTCTCCTACCACCCAGATATGGAGGCTAGAAATCCCCAAGTTTAAAATGAGACGAGCCAAGATGGCCGAATAGGAACAGCTCCAGTCTACAGCTCCGAGCGCGAGCGACGCGGAAGACAGGTGTTTTCTGCATTTCCAACTGAGGTACCGGGTTTATCTCACTGGGGAGTGTCAGAAAGTGGGTGCAGGACAGTGGGTGCAGAGCACCGAGTGTTAGCCGAAGCAGGGTGAGGCACTGCCTCACCCGGGAAGTGCAAGGGGTCAGGGAATTCCTTTCCTAGTCAAAGAAAGGGGTGAGAGAGGGCACCTGGAAAATTGGGTCACTCCCACCCTAATACTGCGCTTTTCCAATGGTCTTAGCAAACGGCACACCAAGAGATTATATCCCGCGCCTGGCTCAGTGGGTCCTACGCCCATGGACCCTCGCTCATTGCTAGCACAGCAGTCTGAGATCAAACTGCAAGGCGGCAGCGAGGCTGGGGGAGGGGCACCCACCATTGCTGAGGCTTGAGTAGGTAAACAAAGCGTCCAGGAAGCTCGAACTGGGTGAAGCCCACTGCAGCTCAAGGAGGCCTGCCTGCCTGCCTCTGTAGACTCCACCTCTGGGGGCAGGGCATTGCCAAACAAAAGGCAGCAGAATCCTCTGCAGACTTAAATGTCCCTGTCTGACAGCTTTGAAGAGAGTATTGGTTCTCCCAGCACGCAGCTGGAGATCTGAGAATGGACAGACTGCCTCCTCAGGTGGGTCCCTGACCCCTGAGTAGCCTAACTGGGAGGCACCCCCCAGTAGGGGCAGACTGACACCTCACATGGACGGGTACTCCTCTGAGACAAAACTTCCAGAGGAACGATCAGGCAGCAACATTTGCTGTTCACCAATATCCACTGTTCTGCAGCCTCCGCTGCTGATACCCAGTCAAACAGGGTTTGGAGTGGACCTCCAGCAAACTCCAACAGATCTGCAGCTGAAGGTCCTGACTGTTAGAAAGAAAACTAACAAACAGAAAGGACATCCACACCAAAACCCCATCTGTATGTCACTATCATCAAAGACCAAAGGTACATAAAACCACAAAGATGGGGAAAAAACAGAGCAGAAAAACTGGAAACTCTTAAAAATCAGAGTGCCTCTCCTCCTCCAAAGGAATGCAGCTCCTCACTAGCAACGGAACAAAGCTGGATGGAGAATGACTTTGACAAGTTGAGAGAAGAAGGCTTCAGACGATCAAACTACTCTGAGCTAAAGGAGGAAGTTCGAACCCATGGCAAAGAAGTTAAAAACCTTGAAAAAAAATTAGACGAATGCCTAACTAGAATAACCAATGCAGAGAAGTCCTTAAAAGACCTGATGGAGCTGAAAACCATGGCACGAGAACTACGTGACGAATGCACAAGCCTCAGTAGCCGACTTGATCAACTGGAAGAAAGGGTATCAGTGATGGAAGATCAAATGAATGAAATGAAGCAAGAAGAGAAGTTAGAGAAAAAAGAATAAAAAGAAACAAACAAAGCCTCCAAGAAATATGGGACTATGTGAAAAGACCAAATCTACGTCTGATTGGTGTATCTGAAAGTGATGGGGAGAATGGAACCAAGTTGGAAAACACTCTGCAGGATATTATCCAGGAGAACTTCCCCAACCTAGCAAGGCAGGCCAACACTGAAATTCAGGAAATACAGAGAACGCCACAAAGATACTCCTCGAGAAGAGCAACTCCAAGACACATAATTGTCAGATTCACCAAAGTTGAAATGAAGGAAAAAATGTTAAGGGCAGCCAGAGAGAAAGGTCGGGTTACCCACAAAGGGAAGCCCATCAGACTAACAGCTGATCTCTCGGCAGAAACTCTACAAGCCAGAAGAGAGTGGGGGCCAATATTCAACATTCTTAAAGAAAAGAATTTTCAACCCAGAATTTCATATCCAGCCAAACTAAGCTTCGTAAGTGAAGGAGAAATAAAATAATTTACAGACAAGCAAATGCTGAGAGATTTGGTCACCACCAGGCCTGCCCTAAAAGACCTCCTGAAGGAAGCACTAAACATGGAAAGGAACAACCGGTACCAGCCACCTCAAAAACATGCCAAATTGTAAAGACCATTGAGGCTAGGAAGAAACTGCATCAACTAACGAGCAAAATAACCAGCTAACATCATAATGACAGGATCAAATTAACACATAACCATATTAACCTTAAATGTAAATGGGCTAAATGCTCCAATTAAAAGACACAGACTGGCAAACTGGATAAAGAGTCAAGACCCATCAGTGTGCTGTATTCAGGAAACCTATCTCACATGTAGTGACATACATAGGCTCAAAATAAATGGATGGAGGAAGATCTACCAAGCAAATGGAAAACAAAAAAAGATAGGTGTTGCAATCCTAGTCTCTGATAAAACAGACTTTAAACCAACAAAGATCAAAAGAGACAAGACCATTACATAATGGTAAATGGATCAATTCAACAAAAAGAGCTAACTATCCTAAATATATATGCACCCAACACAGGAGTACCCAGATTCATAAAGCAAGTCCTTAGAGACCTAGAAAGAGACTTAGACTCCCACACAATAATAATGGGAGACTTTAACACCCCACTATCAATATTAGACAGATCAACAAGACAGAAAGTTAACAAGGATATCCAGGAATTGAACTCAGCTCTGCACCAAGCAGACCTAATAGACATCTACAGAACTCTCTACCCCAAATCAACAGAATATACATTCTTCTCAGCACCACACCGCACTTATTCCAAAATTGACCACATAGTTGGAAGTAAAGCACTCCTCAGCAAATGTAAAAGAACAGAAATTATAACAAACTGTCTCTCAGACCACAGTGCAATCAAACTAGAACTCAGGATTAAGAAACTCACTCAAAACCGCTCAACTACATGGAAACTGAACAACCTGCTCCTGAGTGACTACTGGGTACATAATGAAATGAAGGCAGAAATAAAGATGTTCTTTGAAACCAACGAGAACAAAGACACAACATAACAGAATCTCTGTGACACATTCAAAGCAGTGTGTAGAGGGAAATTTATAGCACTAAATGCCCACAAGAGAAAGCAGGAAAAATCTAAAACTGACACCCTAACATCACAATTAAAAGAACTAGAGAAGCAAGAGCAAACACATTCAAAAGCTAGCAGAAGGCAAGAAATAACTAAGATCAGAGCAGAACTGACGGAAATAGAGACACAAAAAAACCTTCAAAAAAATCAGTGAATCCAGGAGCTGGTTTTTTGAAAAGATCAACAAAATTGATAGACCGCTAGCAAGACTAATAAAGAAGAAAAGAGAGAAGAATCAAATAGACGCAATAAAAAATGATAAAGGGGATATCACCACTGATCCCATAGAAATACAAACTACCGTCAGAGAATACTATAAACACCTCTACGCAAATAAACTAGAAAATCTAGAAGAAATGGATAAATTCCTGGACACATACACCCTCCCAAGACTAAACCAGGAAGAAGTTGAATCTCTGAATAGACTCTGAAATTGAGGCAATAATTAATAGCTTACCAACCAAAAAAAGTCCAAGACCAGATGGATTCACAGCCGAATTCTACCTGAGGTGCAAGGAGGAGCTGGTACCATTCCTTCTGAAACTATTCCAAGCAATAGAAAAAGAAGGAATCCTCCCTAACTCATTTTATGAGGCCAGCATCATCCTGATACCAAAGCCTGGCAGAGACACAACAACAACATAAAATTTTAGACCCAATATCCCTGATGAACATCGATGCAAAAATCCTCAATAAAATATTGGCAAACCAAATCCAGCGGCACATCAAAAAGCTTATCCACCATGATCAAGTGGTCTTCATCCCTGGGATGCAAGGCTGGTTCAACATATGCAAATCAATAAACATAATCCAGCATATAAACAGAACCAACGACAAAAACCATATGATTATCTCAATAGATTCAGAAAAGGCCTTTGACAAAATTCAACAACCCTTCATGCTAAAAACTCTCAATAAATGAGGTATTGATGGGACATATCTCAAAATAATAAGAGCTATCAATGACAAACCCACAGCCAATATCATACTGAATGGGCAAAAACTGGAAGCATTCCCTTTGAAAACTGGCACAAGACAGGGATGCCCTCTCTCACCACTCCTATTCAACATAATTGTTGGAAGTTCTGGACAGGGCAATCAGGCAGGAGAAGGAAATAAAGGGTATTCAGTTAGGAAAAGAGGAAGTCAAATTGTCCCTGTTTGCAGACGACAAGCTTGTATATCTAGAAAAGCCCATTGTCTCAGCCCAAAATCTCCTTAAGCTGATAGGCAACTTCAGCAAAGTCTCAGGATACAAAATCAATGTGCAACAATCACAAGCATTCTTATACACCAATAACAGACAAACAGAGCGCCAAATCATGAGTGAACTCCCATTCACAATTGCTTCAAAGAGAATAAAATACCTAGGAATCCAACTTACAAGGGACGTGAAGGACCTCTTCAAGGAGAACTACAAACCACTGCTCAATGAAAGAGGATACAAACAAATGGAAGAACATTCCATGCTCATGGGTAGGAAGAATCAATATTGTGAAAATGGCCATACTGCCCAAGGTAATTTATAGATTCAGTGCCATCCCCATCAAGCTACCAATGACATTCTTCACTGAATTGGAAAAAACTACTTCAAAGTTCATATGGAACCAAAAAACAGCCCTAAGTCAATCCTAAGCAAAAAGAACAAAGCTGGAGGCATCACGCTACCTGACTTCAAACTATACTACGAGGCTACAGTAACCAAAACAGCATGGTACTGGTACCAAAACAGAGATATAGATCAATGGAACAAAACAGAGCCCTCAGAAATAATGCCGCATATCTACAACCATCTGATCTTTGACAAACCTGACAAAAACAAGAAATGGGGAAAGGATTCCCTATTTAATAAATGGTGCTGGGAAAACTGGCTAGCCATATGTAGAAAGCTGAAACTGGATCCCTTCCTTACACCTTATACAAAAATTAATTCAAGATGGATTAAAGACTTAAATGTTAGACCTAAAACCATAAAAACCCTAGAAGAAAAACTAGACAATACCATTCAGGACATAGGCATGGGCAAGGACTTCATGTCTAAAACACCAAAAGCAATGGCAACAAAAGCCAAAATTGACAAACGGGATCTAATTAAACTAAAGAGCTTTTGCACAGCAAAAGAAACTACCATCAGAGTGAACAGGCAACCTATACAGAATGGGAGAAAATTTTTCCAATCTACTCATCTGACAAAGGGCTAATATCCAGAATCTACAATGAACTCCAACAAATTTACAAGAAAAAAACAAACAACCCCATCAGCAAGTGGGTGAAGGATATGAACAGACACTTCTCAAAAGAAGACATTTATGCAGCCAAAAGACACAGGAAAAAATGCCCATCATCACTGGCCATCAGAGAAATGCAAATCAAAACGACAATGAGATACCATCTCACACCAGTTAGAATGGCGATCATTAAAAAGTCAGGAAACAACAGGTGCTGGAGAGGATGTGGAGAAATAGGAACACTTTTACACTGTTGGTGGGACTGTAAACTAGTTCAACCATTGTAGAAGTCAGTGTGGCGATTCCTCAGGGATCTAGAACTAGAAATACCATTTGACCCAGCCATCCCATTACTGGGTATATACCCAAAGGATTATAAATCATGCTGCTATAAAGACACATGCACACGTATGTTTATTGCGGCACTATTCACAATAGCAAAGACTTGGAACCAACCCAAATGTCCAACAATGATAGACTGGATTAAGAAAATGTGGCACATGTACACCACGGAATACTATGCAGCCATAAAAAATGATGAGTTCATGTCCTTTGTAGGGACATGGATGAAGCTGGAAAATATCATTCTCAGCAAACTATCACAAGGACAAAAAACCAAACACCACATGTTCTCACTCATAGGTGGGAATTGAACAATGAGAACACATGGACACAGGAAGGGGAACATCACACCCCGGGGCCTGTTGTGGGGTGAGGGGAGCGGGGAGGGATAGCATTTGGAGATATACCTAATGTTAAATGATGAGTTACTGGGTGCAGCACACCAACATGGAACATGTATACATACGTAACTAACCTGCACGTTGCGCACATGTACCCTAGAACTTAAAGTATAATAAAAAAAAAAAGATAAAAAAATAAAATGAGTGGGCCAGCCGGGAGCGGTGGCTCATGCCTGTAATCCCAGCACTTTGGGAGGCCCGGGGCAGGCAGATCACCTGAGGTCAGGAGTTCGAGACCAGCCTGACCAACATGGAGAAACCCCGTGTCTACTAAAAATACAAAATTAGCTGGGCATGGTGGCGCACACCTGTAATCCCAGCTACTCGGGATGCTGAGACAGAAGAATCGCTTGAACCCGGGAGGTGGAGGTTGCGGTGAGCCGAGATCGCGCCACTGCACTCCAGCCTGGGCAACAAGAGTGAAACTGTGTCTCAAAAAAAAAAAAAAAAAAAAGAGCAGGCCTCCTTTTCCTTTAACAAAATAAGCCTCAGATCTGTCAGAGAAGAGAATAATGTAAACAGCTTCTAGGGGACAGAACCATGTGGGGACATCAGAATACAGTCTGCCCTGACAAGCTGCTATTACATATTTATCCCTTTAATGCCTATGGGCCTCAAATTATAATACTATTAGTAATAGTTAACACTTACTAAACTCTTACTGTATACCAGAGGCAATTCCAGACACCATGCAAGTTTTACCTCCCCAAAGCTCCATGAGTTCTACACCTTCCTCAAATTGACAATGCTAGAAAGTGCCTAGATTTGAAGTCTAGCTGTGGAGCGCCACACGCTTAGCCAGCTGGGCCAGTAATGATGTCAGCAATGGCCAATCCCTGTGGGGTCTGACAATTCTCAAAGTGTATCCACACATAGGGTTGAGGGGATGTAGATGAAACAAAATTGGCCATGAGTTAACAAATGTGGAATCTGGTGACAGGTCCGTGGCAGTTCACTGAATAGCTCTACTAGGTAGGTTTAAAATTTGTCCCTACGAAAAAATTAAAAATAAAATTAAACGCCTGATATCCAGAACTCACCATATGCCGGAAGTGATTTGGATTGTTAACTAGAAGCCGTCAGAGTTCCCCACCAGACCTAACCCTTCACAGCCCCAAACCAGATGTTTGGCCCTAACATGTGAGGGAAAAGCAGTCCAGGAAAGGAGTCAGCCAGACGGGCCACCCAGATGACGACCAAACCCAGGAACTTTGCCACAAAGCACAGGGGGCACCTCCCACATGACACACCTTGAGACAACAGGTCCCAGAGAAAAGACCTGCCCCCATTCAAAAGAGCTGCCTAGATGCCTGTCAGAGTGATACAGCCCACCACTATCAGAGGACGAAACCTCCCTCACCTCCCTAAAAACCCCAGGGACTCCTGACCCAAGACACTCGCCCAGGCCCTCTCAGGATATTTTGACCACGTCAAGCTCACCTCCACTTCCAACCCCCCAACCCCTAATAAACCAAGGTCCATCAAGCATCAAGGCCTGAGACGGCCTCCCCCTAACCACCCCGGTCACCACTCGGGACATATCCAGCCCCACCCAAAAAACAGAAAAACTCGGTGATGCAGGACTCAAGACGCTCCCCAGCCAAAAACCACCCAGGGATGTGCGGACCTAGCCACGTCCCCACCCCAGCCGCGGGGATGTTGGTCCATTTGGCCCTGGCAGAACTCAACCCCACAGCCCAAATAAACCCCAGGACGCACGACTGGGGCCGCCCTCCGTATTCGAAAACTGGTTGACCCAGAATAATCCCGCCTGGTTCAAGACAGGCATTAGAGTTCTAGGTCACTCTCGTCCCCCCGGGGGGAAAAAAGGTCCGCGGAGGTCCGGGCAAGCAGGGGCTCACCCCATCGCCTCGCCCCAATGAGCACCGCGAGCTGCGCCCTCTCCTCCAAAAACCAAATATCTCCAACCCGCACTCCCCATTGGCCACACTCTACCCCGCGTCCTAACCTACGCTCGGCCTTTCCCGACCCTCCTTTCCCCACGAGAGAGGGCATCCTGGGGCCAAGGAGCCGCGGAGGCCGCGCTCACCAGAGCCAGCGTGCCCGGGATCTCGGCCACCGACCGACGCCAGAACTACAATTCCCAACATCCTCGCAGGCTTCGGCTCCCATTGGCCGCCACAGAGCCACTTCTGGGCCGTGCAACGGTTACTTTTCCAGGACAGTGACCACTGCAGTGACAGCCTCTCCGTCTCTTCTTAAAATACCCATGTTGAAAACAGGTTCTGGCTCCCGAGTGAAGTCTCTGTCCCCTTGGCCCATTCTGCAAAAAAAAGACTACACTCCCCACAAGCCTCTGCGGCAGCTTCCGCAGGCGCTTCCGGAAGCTGGGGTCAACGAGAGAAGTCATTTCCGATTGGCGAATCTAGCGGGAGCAATGCGCTGTCTGTCAGGCGTGTGTTGGGTACAGAGTTTACTGCACCGGACCACCTGAATTCCCTGGGCTGAGGCTCCATAGCACGCGAACTACCTTGCGTGAGCACTATGTAGATTCGACTTCGTGTTGCCTGTGACACACAGGCAGGGCAAAGCCGCCTCCCAGCGTCTCAGTTGAACCCTTACCCTCAACACCAGTGCACTCCTGTGGGTGGCCTGTAGTCACCTTTCTTGTCGAAGTCCTCAAAGTTAGGGACAGACTCTCATCCAGTTTCTGGAGGGTGGAAGCTTCACTCAGGCTGGAGTCTGGCTCTCTGGCCTCTTATCTAAGATCCCGGTTCAGATCTGGGCTACTAGAGCCGGGCGTGGTGGCGCGCGCCTGGGATTCCTGTAACCCCGAGGGAGGCTGAGGCTGAGGCTGGAGGATGGCTTGAGCCCAGGAGTTAAATGTATATATTTTAAAACTAATAATATTTTTAAAACTGGGCTACGCTGGTACCTTCTGCAACACGGCAATTAGGGGTTTGCAGATCAGACCTTCAGCTCATAGGAGGCGCGTTTAAATCTTAATGGCAAATACAAATTGAATTAAATTTTACTTGTTACTGAAGGGGAAATAAACCTGACCTCACGCCCTTGGAGTATTTCCATGAGAAATCTATGTATAAGTGCTCCTTTGATATGTACCTGATACTTTTGAAAGGCTGAATAAGCACCTGCCAACTTTACAAAAGAGGAATGTTTCCCCCAAAGGCCTGATGAGCCATCTCTTTGAAATGTAAACAGTGAAGAAGATAGTGCCCTTATCTCCCTGTCACCTTGGGAGTTTAGCTTAGGTGCCTAGCTCCAAACTCGTAACTGCCCGCTTGTCACAGATAAAAGTTTTATTTTTTCTTTTTGATAAAGGCAATTAACTAGTGTAGATGGCTACTCCAATTACCAGGTGAATTTAGAATGAATTATGAAAAATTGTATAGCAAACAATGTCAAATCCTCTTACAAGGGGGCAAATTACCATTAATTTTGAGGACATGTTTGTAATAGATTGTATCTGCCCAACTAGATAAAAAGTAAGATCTCTTTCTGTCTGGCATCTGATTAGCAGATTGTCTACAATGTGCTTCCCAGTCCAGTTCAATATTATTTGGTAATAAAACTGTTCTCCTTCTTTTCTACGTTTGTGAAGGGGATTTTCTGGGTTAGCAGGAGATTTTGTTTTTATTTTCTCCAACACCTCCTTCCATCTTCTTATTTCTTTTCACCTTCCCAATATCAGCCTTCTGAGGCTTCTCTGTTCTCCAGTACTCAGGAGATAGAGAACATGGCCCCAAGGCCGTTGTGAGCCAGGAGACAGACAAACATTTCTTGATATTCTGTCCTGCCTTTCACAGAAAGGACCAATTCCCTTCTCTTGTCTTGGAGGCTGCCGTGTTAGTACTGGGCAGAATCTGTTACTGAAACACCAGGGGTTGGGTCTAGGTCCTGCTGGTTGCCAGTCAGAAAACCAATCACTGAGACGAGTATTGCAAGGGAAGAAGGCCTTAATTGAGTGCTGCAGCCAAGAAGATGGGAGATCAGTCTCACATCCATCTCCCTGACTGACCAAAATCAGGGGTTTGTATAGCAGGGAAGAAATGTAACTATGTGTGGGAAAACAGAAATTAGGGAGAGGTAAGTTGGAACAGGAAGGAGGTGATTGGTTAGGCAATATGACTGATGAGGAGTGTGGGTTCTCATTGTCCACATGCAATGATTTGGTAAGTTGCAGCTCCTTGATACTATCTGGGAGGCCTGATGTTTGGTTTTCCTGAGAAAGGAACTCAGGACAAATGTGACCTTCTCAAGTTTTAAGACTGGGGGAATCCATTTCTTTTCTTTCCTTTTCCTTTCTTTTTTTTTTTTTGGACAGGGACTTGCTCTGTCATTCAGGCTAGAGTGCGGTGGCATGATCACCGCTCATGTAGCCTCAACCTCCTGGGCTCAAGTGAGTCTTCCACCTCAGCCCCGAGTAGTTGGGACTACAGGCACATGCCACCACACCTGGCAATATTTTTTAATTTTTTGTAGAGATGGGGTTTCACCATGTTGCCCAGGCTGATCTTAAACTCCTAGGCTCAGGTGATTCTCCCACCTCAGCTTCCCAAAGTGCTGGAATTACAGGCATGAGCCACCGCACCTGGCCTGGAAGGACCAATTTCTGTTTATTCAAAGAAACCATAAACATCAATTCTGTGGGACAATTGGGACAGTTTCAAATCCAGCCCTTGATCTGGAGCCCTCCCTCAGCATCCCTCTGTGCTCCATGTGACTGTTATTCATCACGTGAATAAAATCTATGGAACAGTTGAATTAAAAATACAAGGACAGAGGTGACATCAATGGGAAATCTCTGTCCCTTCTGTTTAATTTTGCTATGGACATAAAATTCATCTAAAAATGAAGTCTATTCATAAAAGAGAAAATTAGGAAAATTTTGCAATGTTTTACTTGCCCCTCGCCCTGCTTTCCTCCCTGGCTCTTCAGCAGTCTCAAAGCCTACATTCACAGCATGGGATGCAATTATGACAGACCCACAGCTAACATCATACTCAATGGTGAAAACTGAAAACTCTTCCCCTAAGGTCAGTGACAAGACAAGGATGCTTACTTTTGCCACTTCTATTCAACATTGTACTGGAAGGTCTATTTATAGCAATTAGACAAGAAAAAGAAAAGCCATCCAAATGGGAAAGGAAGAAGTAAAACTATCTCTATTCACAGATGATGTGATCTTGTATATAGTAAACACTACATTTCTATAACTAACAAACGATTTGAAAATAAGAAAATAGTTCCATTTGCAATAGCATCAAAAAGAATAACATATTTAGGAATAACTTTAACCAGGAAGGCACAAGATTTGTACACTGAAAATTACAAATCATTGCTGAAAGAAATTGTGTAAGCTCCAAATAAATGAAATTACATACTCCGTTCATGGGTTGGAAGGCTTAATATTGTTAAAATGGCATTATTCCTCAAAGCAATCTACAGATGCAATGCTATCCTTGTCAAAATTCCAATGGCCTTTTTGCAGAAATGGAAAAGTTGATCCTAAAGTTCGTATGGAATTTTAAGGGACCCAGAGTAGCCAAAACAATTTTGAAAAAGAATAAGGTTGGAGGACTCACTCTTCTTAATTTTAAAACTTAATACAAAGCTTCAGTAATTAAAACAGTGTGGTACTGCCATAAGGGTAGACATAGACCAATGGATAGGATTGAAAGTCCAGAAATGAAACTGTAGAGAAATGGTCAATTGCTTTTCAACAAGGATGCCGAGACCATTTAATGGGGAAAGAATAGCCTTTTCAATAAATCATGCTGGAACAACTGGATAACCACAAGTAAAAGAATGAAGTTGGACCTCTACCTCCCACTGTATACAAAAATTAACTCAAAGACTATAAAGATCTAAATATAAAAGCTAAAACTCTTAGAAGAAAGCATAAGGGTTAATTTTCATTACCTTGCATCTGAAAAATTGTTTCTTAGATGTGACACCAAAAGCAGAAGCAACAAATGGAAAAATAAATTGGGCCAGTCGCAGTGGCTCACCCCTGTAATCCCAGCACTTTGGGAGGCCAAGGCAGGAGGATCATTTGAGCTCAGGAGGTCAAGACCAGACTAGGCAACATAGACCATTTCTCTACCAAAAAAAAAAAAAAAAAAAATCCCCTCAAAAATAGCTGGGTGTGGTGGCAGGCATCTGTAGTCCCAGCTACTTGGGAGGCTGAGCTGGGAGGATAGCTTGAGCCTGGGAGTTCCAAGCTGCAGTGAGCCATGATTGTACCACTGCACTCCAGCCTGGATGACAGAGTGAGACCCTGTCTCAAAAAAGAAATTGGAATTTATCAAAATTTAAAACTTTGTGCGCCAAAGGACACTACTGGAAGAGTGACAAGGCAACCCATAAGAATGAGAGAAAATATTTGCAAATCATATATCTGATAATGGTCTAATGTCCAGAATATATTAAGATTTCTATGACTCAATAACAAAAAGACTAACAACCCAATTTTAAAATGAGCAAAGGACTCAAATAAACATTTTGAAGAAATAACTGCATACAAAACAGCCAGCAAGAACACACCAAAAAAATGCTTACTGTCACTAATAATTAGAGAAACACAAACTAAAACCATAATAAAATACCACTTCACACCCACTAGAATGGCTATGATAAAAATACTTTTTTAATGGAAAATAACAACTGTTGGCAAAGTTGTGGAGAAATTAGAACCCTTATACTGTACATTGCTGGTAAGAATGTAAAGTGTTCTATCTGTTGGGGAAATCCGTTTGGTGGTTCCTTAATAAGTTAAACATAGAATTAGCATTTGACCCAGCATTTCTACTCCAAGCTATATGCCCCAAAGAATTGAAAACAGGTGTTCAAACAAAAACTTTTATAGAATGTTTACATCAGCACTATTCAGAATAGCTGAAAGGTGGAAACAATCCGAATGTTCATCAGTTGGTGAACAGATAAGCAAAATATGATAAATCCATACAATCAAATAGTATTCAGCCATAAAAGTATTGATATATGGTATAACATGGATGAACCTTGAAAACATTATGCTAAGTGAAAGAAACCAGACACAAAAGACCATACACTGTATCATTCCACTTAAATGAATTTATATGTCCGGAATAGGCAGATCCATGGAGACAGAAAGTAGATTAGTAGCAGGGTCTAGTGGAAAGGTGAAATGCAAAATGACCACTTAATGGGCACAGGATTCCCTTTTGGGGCGATGAAAATATTCTGGAATTGCCATAACGGGATGTCTTAATTGGAGAATCACATAAAAGGAAAAAGAAGTTTTAAAATGAGAAAATAAATAGAAAAAGAACAACAAAAAATGAAAACGTTCTGGAATTAGATAATGGTGATGGTTGGGCAATATTGTGAATGTACTGAATGACTCTGTGTAACTTAAAATGGTTAAAATGCTTAAATGTGAAATTTCTTCTATTAGAATGAATTGAGATAAATATCACCTTTATATGAGCTAAAAGCCAAAGAACACACATTTGCCTCAACTGCACTTTTCTTCTGTAAGTAAGACCAAATTAAATGTAGCTAGGGAGCATTTATGAAAATGAGCTTGAATCGCCTGTGTTCTCAAAAGAATCTTCAAAAGGATTCAAAAGTACTTAAGATGCTCAAAACTTCAAAGATCTTAGAATTTCTCTTATTGGGAGTTATAAGCAATTATAGTGAATCAAAGCAGTATTTGTGTAAATGAGCCCATAGCCATACATGTTCTCAAAGAACCTTCTCGTTGCTAGTCAAATCAAAGTAAGATGAATCCAGTCAGTATTTGTAAAAATAAGCAGTCTAATTTAAAGCTCAATATTATATATATCTTTTAAAAAATTTTTGTAAGACTAATACTGTGTGTTTAATGAATTAGAAGCCAAAGCAGGCCAGGCATGGTGGCTCACGTCTGTAGTTCCAGCACTTTGGGAGGCCAAGGCAGGCAGATCACTTGAAGCCAGGAGTTGAAGACCAGCCTGGCTAATATGGCGAAACCCCATCTCTACTAAGAATATTAATACAAAAATTTAGCCAAATTTGGTGGCATGCACCCATAGTCCCAGCTACTCAAGAGGCTGAGGCACGAGAATTGCTTGAACTCAGGAGGCGGAGGTTGCAGTGAGCCAAGTGAGCTGAGATTGCACCACTGCACTGCACTCCAGCCTGGGTGACAGAGCGAGACATTGTATCAAAAAAAAAAAAGAAGAAGAAGAAGAAAGAAGAAGGAAGGAAGGAGAAGAAGGAAGGAAGGAGAAGGAAGAAGAAGAAAGAGAAGAAGAAGCCAAATCAGAAAAAGAAAGGAAAAAAAGACTAATACTGCAGTGTTAGTAAACACAAGTTCAGACATTTTACTAGATTTACTGCTGATTAGAATACATTGATATTAATGTAAACTTTAAACAAACCAGGTGATAAAGACACCTTCGTCTTATTATTTGTCAGAGCTATTTATGATATTTGTGAAAATGAGTTCTGAATCCCATATTGGTTTTTTTCTTTTTTAGCCTCAATATATTACCACATTAAGAATCCCATATTGTTCTTAATAAATTTACAAATGTAGTCAGAAGCATTCAAAATATGTATTGTTATATGGAGGAATTACAATGACTCAGCAGGATTTGTGAAATCAGCTCAGAATTGTTCTCCAAAGAATCTTAAAAAATATTCCAAAAAATATTCCAAAAGCATTCAAAAGTACTCCAACTCTAACTTCTTTTTTGAACTACTACTGCTAAATAGATAACTAGTGATAACTTGAGACACATGTATGTCCTGGAGCTTCTCTTTTACATACTGTAGTTATTCTAATTATGTCTAGTTACCTAGTTAGTATGGGTTATCTTGTTATCTCTACTTGTCAGTAGTTCTTACTAGTTATATGAACAAGAAATAAGCTGTAGTTAACAGAAATGTATGGTTGAGGGTCTTTGCTTAACCCTTACCCTTGACTTTGATCTTGGGCATGAACTTCAACCTTAGACTTCGAGGTTCAACATGAGAGTGAGAGACAGGCTCAGGTGATGGTACCAGAGTGAGCGTCACACAGTCAGGGCGATGATCCGTATCTGCATCATCAGGAGGATTGGAGTAAGGATGAGTGTCAGGGTCAGCGGCTGTGAAAGGAGGAGGGGAGTCAGACTCAGAGTGAGATTGAGGGTCAAGGTCAGAGTCAGAAAGGGGTGAATGTGAGGGTGAATGTCAGGGCCAGATTGAAAGTGAGAGTGATGGTCAGATTGAGGTGATGAAGTGAGAATGGGGGCTAGGGTGAGGGTGAGGTTGAGAATTAGGGTGATGATCAAGGTTGGGGTTTGGGAGAGAGCAGGCTGAGTGTTTGGTTCAGGTCGGAATCAAGGTGAGGATGAGAGTCGGGGTCACAGAGATGTTAAGGATGTGATTTAGAAGCCAAATGTCCTGGTGCATGCCTGTAATCCCAACTACTCAGGAGGCTGAGGATTGCTTGAGTCCAACAATTAGAGGCCAGCCTGGGCAATGGAGCGAGACCCTGTCTTCAAAAAGGGAGGGGATTGTGATTTAGGGTAAAGGTGGGGCCAGAGTGATGCTGTGAGGGTCAGAGTCACTGTTAATGTCAGGCTGAGGGTGAGGGTTAGTGTTTGATTTAGGATCAGAGTAGGTCCCAGTGAGGATTAAAGTCAGAGTGAGAGCAAGTGCACAGTGAGTGTGAGCGTGGGCATGAGAGTGAGATCAAGGTCAGTGTCAAAGTAAGAGTCCATCTGAGGAATAAACTCAGAGTGAGGATGAGTGAGCAGGGTAGGGTCAGGACAACAGTGATGATGAGGGTCTGGTTTAGCGTCAAGGGCAAGTGTCAAGATGAAACTGAGGGTCAGGGTGAAGGTGAGAGTGAGGGAGAGTGAGGTCTAGCTGAGGATGAAAGGGAGATTGAGAAAGAGAGAGTCAAGTGCAATTCAGGTCCAGTGTATGAGGCTTAGGTCAGGTTTAAGGCAAGGGTTGGGATAAGGGTTATGATCACATTGAGGGTCAGGTTGAGGATAAAGGTCAGGCTCAAGGCCAGAAAGTGTTAGGGTAAAGGTGGGCGTGAGGTTCAGGGTCAAGGAGAAGATGAGAGTGAGTTGACATTGAGGATGTCCTTCATGATTAGTGTCACTGTCACGGTCATTACTTTTTGTGACTTACAACAAATCTGGATGAACCTAGTCAATTTAAGTCAGAATCATACATTCATATCTAAGGTAACTCACTATGGTGAATTCAATCAGATGTATATGAAAGTAAGCAGAATACTTGAAAACAGCAAACCATGCTTCCAACTAAGGTTCAAGTCCAGGTTTGGGAATATTTCAAATGATATGTTTCATTGTGCATTAGAGCATATTTAAATGAAACCAAGCTGTTTATGTCAAACGAGCTCAGAATCTATCATTCTTCCTGAATGAGACTGAGTGCTCCAGAGAAATAGAAGCAACAGAATTTGTATGTGTTTATGTATTTGTATATGTATATGTATACACACACACAGGTATATATACAAATATACACACACATATATACACATTCAGCCAATGTATATGTGTGTATATATATATACACACATATATAGCTGATGTATATGTATATATATACACACATATACATATACCAGGAGAGCCGATGGTGCAGTTCCAGTCCAAAGGGGCAGCCTGCTGAAGAATTCCCTCTGGTCTTTTTTTTTTTTCTTTTTTGAGATAGGGTCTTACTCTGCACTCTGTCACCCAGGCTAGAGTGCAGTGGCATCATCATGGCTCACTGCAGCCTCGACCTCCTGGGCTCAAGCAGTCCTCCCACCTCAGCCTTCCAAGTAACTGGGACTACAGGCACACACCACCATGCCTGGCTAGTTATTAATTTTTTTTTTTTGTAGAGATGGGGTCCCCCTCTGTCACCCAGGCTGGTCTTGAACTCCTGGCCTCAAGTGATCCTCTCACCTCAGCCTCCCAAAGTGCTGGGATTAAAGGAGTGAGCCGTTGCCCTTGGCCTCAATTTGTTATTGCTTATTAGAATAAATTGACATGAAAGTAAGCTTTAATAATAATAATAATAAAAGATGAGAAACACACCGTCATCAAAACTGTACTTAGAGCTAAGACAAATGGAAACATTATATGTGAAAGACATCTCAAAATCACATATTGTCCTTAATAAAATTTTAAAAGTACTCAAAGGTTTATTTTTTTTTCCTTTTTTCTCTCTTTTTTTTTTTCGAGACAGAGTCTCACTCTGTTACCCAGGCTGGAGTGCAGTGGCTCGATCTCGGCTCACTGTAACCTCTGCCTCCCAGGCTCAAGTGATTCCCCTTCCTCAGCTTTCTGAGTAGCTGGGATTACAGGCGCGTGCCACCACGTCTGGCTACCTTTTTGTATTTTTTTAGTAGAGACGTAGTTTCGCCATGTTGACCAGGCTTGTCTTGAACTCCTGAACTCAGACAGTTTGCCGACCTTGGCCTCCCAGAGTGTTAGAATTACAGGCGTGAGCCACCGCGCCCAGCCTCAAAGATTTATTTCTATTTGGGAGAATTATAATGAATCAAAAGCAGTATTCGTGTAAATGAGCTCATTGTCACATTGCTCTTAAAAGATCCTTCTTATTGCCAGTTAGAGCAAATTAAGTAGAATCTAGAATTCTGAAGCCAACATAGAATCACTAACTGTTGTCAAATAATCTTTTGTACTCCAAAGTACTCCAAAATACACAATAGTACTCACAAGTGCCAGACTCTAACTTCTGATTTCTAAATAGCTACCCCTCCGGTTCCACACTCACTCACAACCTACAACCCTCCCTTACAGACACTACCTTCCAACATACCACATGCTCTCAGCCCCGTGTCCACTTCCCTACACCACTTGCTTCACATCCACTCAATACCTATGCTCTGACAATCACCCACACACCACCTACCTCTCCCCTGTAAACCATTCAGTGCCTACCCTTGCAGCCCACACCCACTGATAATGGTTTGGCTCTGTGTTCCTACCCAAATCTCATCTCGAATTGTAATCCCCACATGTCAGGGGAGGGACCTGGTGGAAGGCGATTGGCTCATGGGGGTGGTTTCATCCATGCTGTCCTCATGATAGTGAGTTCTCACAAGATCTGATGGTTTAAAAGTGTTTGGCAGTTCCCTGCCCCCCTCTCTCTTTCCTGCCATCGTGTAAGACATGCCTTGCTTCCCCTTCACCTTCCACCATGATTGTAAGTTTCCTGAGGCCTACCCAGCCATGTGCAACTGTGAGTCAATTAAACCTCTTTCCTTTTTAAATTACCCAGTCTTGGGTAGTTCTTTATAGTAGTGTGAAAATGGACTAATCCACCCATTCACTACTTTCTGACCCATACTCATTCTCTACTTACTCCCTCAAATACCCCGTGACCTACCCCACATTACATACCAACTCACTACCCACACCCTGCCACAGACTCCTTTACTACGCTCTCATAATGATTCTGACACTGACACCCTAATCCTGACTGTGACACTGACTCTCCCTCTGACCCTGTACCTCCAGCTCACTCTCACACTCACTCTGGTCCTAACCATGAACCTGACCTTCACACTCACACTGACTCTGGACTTCGCCTTCAGATTTGCCTCACCTCACTGAATAGAACAAAAAGACCAGCCTCCTTGAACAAGAGGAAATTCTTCAGCAGACTGCCTTTAGACTGGAACTGCACCATTGGCTCCCCTGGGGCTCCAGCCTGCCAGCCTCCATAATTGTGTGAAGCAATTCCTTATACTAAATCTCCATATGTGTGTGTGCATGTGTGTGTATACGCATATACATACACATTCTATTGGTTCTGTTTCTCTGGAGAACCCTGACTCATTCAGGAAAAATGATAGATTCTGAACTCATTTGACATAAACAGCTTGGTTTCATCTAAATATGCTCTAACACACAATGGACATTTCATTTGAGATGTTCCTGAACCTGGACCTGAACCTTAGTTGAAAGTGTGATTTCCTGCCTGTTTTCAACTGTTCTGTTTAGTTTCACATATATTTAATTGAATTCACCATAGGGAGATGACTCTGATTTAAATTGCCTAGGTTCATCCTAATTTGTTGTAAGTCACAAAAAAATAAGGAAATTTAGAGAACAAGGTGTGATTGTAAGATTATTTTCTCTAATACTGCTTAGATTCATGTAATTTGGCTCTAAGTTATTTTTATCTGCTCTATCTGACCATTTCACACTTATTAAGAGGGGAGAGTCTGTTTCTTAGCTTGTTTACTGCTTGGTTGTACATAGTTTAATCTATATTTCTACTAATTCAACATAATAGAGTACTTTGGAGGATAATGACTGCTTCTGAGCTAAGTTTCACTAATACTGCTTAGATTCACCTTAATTTAATGCACTTTAAGATTCTATGTTTGTATTCTACATGCACTTTATGAGCTAGTTTGTATATACTATGAAGTTTATATATCATTTATTAAATGTATAAATTTCATTTATAATGGATGAGTGATTTTGAACTTGACTTCCTTTATATCACCTAATTTATGTGCTACTAGCCAGGCGTGGTACCTCACATCTATAATCCCAGCACTTTAGGAGGCCAAGGTGGGAGGATCTCTTGAGCCCAGAGGTTAGAGATCAGCCTGGACAACATGGCAAGACCCCGTCTCTATTAAAAAGAAATAATTTTTTAAATTAAAATATGTGCTACCTATGCCTAGCTACATTTTAATTATTCCTAAGAGCCTACAATCGCTTTTCAGAACAATGTCTGATTCTGAGCTTGTTCATTAATATACTGCTTATTTTATTTTATTTTATTTTACTAGATATGCTCTAACTCATCTTAAAGAGGAGAATCAGTGGGAAATGGGTCTGGGAAGATCATTGGTCAGCTCTGGTCCCAGAAACTTGGGCAGGCACCCCCTGTAAAGCACTTGTGAACATGGGGACTCGTCTTCTACGCCGAAAAGTGGTGACTCACACCATAGGCAAGTGGCAGATATTCAGCCTCTGGAAGAGAATATTGGGGACAGTTGCTGGCAGCACAGGTTGGCACTTGGACTCTGAAACAAAAAATGGGGACTTCACTTCTGGAGGGAGAGGTGGGGACACAGCCCCAGGGCAAGGGGAGGGGACTTAGCTTCTTGGGGGAGATGCAGGGAGGAAGCTTCTGGAGTGGGAAGTCTTTAATGAGTGGCATGGATTTAGTCTGTAGAACTGAAACCAAAACTCATCTTTTAGAAGGGATAAGTGTAGACTTAGCCTTTGGGACAAGTGGTGAGGACATAGCATCTGGAAGGAGAAGCAAGAATGTAGCCTCTGCTGAGGGAAATGAACGTGTAATCTCTGGGGCAAAAGATAGGTACTTAACCTCTGGCGTTGAAATCCAGACCCAGCCTCTGGAAGAAGAGTGGACTTACCCCCTGGGCAGATGGTGGAAACCTTGCTTATGGTACAAGCATTGGGAACTTAGCCACTGGAGTCATAATCAGGGCAGGCATAGACTCTGGGGCAGAAAGTGGAAACTTCACCTCTGGGGTGAACAGTGGGGGCTTCTTCTCTGGAGTCAGATGGGGACTCAGCATTGGGAAGAATACGGTGGACTTTTTATATTCTGGAGACAGAAGTAGCCTTTAGGGAGAGAGGTAGAGATAGCCTGTGGAGCCCAAATCCAGATGTAGCCTCTGGAGGGAGAAGTAGGGCCCTCACCTGATGGGAGACCTCTGGGGACTCAGCTTCCAGCTCTAGAAGCAGAGACCTAGACTCAGGTGTGGGTAGTGGGATGTAGTCTCTGAGGCAAGAGATGACTTCTGCAGTCAGAATTGGGGCTCAGCCTCCGGAGAGGGAAGTGTGGACCTAGCCAGTGGGTATATGGTGGAAACTTAGCCTTTGGATGGAGAAGTAGGATCTTAGTCTCTAGCTTCTGTGTGGGGAGTGGGGATTTAGCTTCTGAAATGGAAGATGGGGTCTTAGCCTCTGAAGCTGAAAATCTGGACTCAGCTTCTGGAGGGAAAAGCTGGGACATAGACGTGGGTGGTCGCGGTCAAAATCAATTTCTCAAAAGCGGCCTTTATGCCAGGCCGGAGGGGCTCCCCCTAGCGAGTGAGGGAAGCAGGACACTTTGAAACGAATGCGTTTCTCAGCTTCTTTGCACATGTAAAGTTACAAAGCACTTAAGAAGCATGTAAGGTTTGTTTAAAATGAATAAGTTATTTTGAGCTTGATTTAACATAAACTCTTAGATATACTCTAAGTTACTCTAAGAAGGTCCTTTTGAGAATGCTTGAGTCTACACTTGTTTTAATATCAACTGTTACATATGAATTATCTCTAAGGAGCAATAAAAGTGTGGTGTAAAATGAATGAGTAATTTTGAGCTTGATTTCACCTAAAATGCTTAGTACTGACTACATGGAGTCTAATTCCACATAACAAGTTAGGTTAAGGACATATTCCTTAATACTGCTTAGATTTATCTAAATTGGTTCTAACTCATTTTATTTAGTTTCTCACCATTAGAAGTTTCCTTAGAGGGGAATGTCTGATTCTTAGCTTGTTTGCAAACACTCTACTTGTTTGTAAACATACATTTTTATTTCAACATAATAAGGTACTTTGGAGTTACCTTAGACGTGACGCAACCTGTTTTTATTTAACCTACTTCATTTGCTCAAACTTACAAAAAGATTACTTAGTTGGAGATAAGTCTTTCTGAGCCAGTTTGTTCGTCTGTCTTTCTGAGCTAACGTACTGTGTAGTTCACAATAAGTCAATCTGGCTCAGTTTCAATTTTAACATAAGCTGCTTAATTACATTTATATTTACTCCGACTCATAATAAGAAGTTACTTTTAAGATCAAAGTGTGAGGTCAGGCATGGTGGCTCACGCCTGTAATCCCAATACTTTGGGAGGCCAAGGCAGGTGGATAGCTTGAGCTCAGGAGCTCGAGACCAGCCTGGGCAACATGGCAAAACCCTGTCTCTACAAAAGACACAAAAAAATTAGCCAGGTGTAGTAGCTTGTGCCTGTAGACCCAGCTACTTGGGAGGCTGAGGTGGGAGGATCGCTTGAGCCTGGGAGGCAGAGGTTGTGGCAGCGGCATTTGATCCAGAGCAACTCCATCTTGAATAGGGGCTGGGTAAAATAAGGCTGAGATCTACTAGGCTGCATTCCCAGGAGGTTAGGCATTTTAAGTCATAGGATGAGATTGGAGGTCAGCACAAGATACAGGTCACAAAGACCTTGCTGATAAAACAGGATGTGGTAAAGAAGCTGGCCAAAACCAAAATGGTGATGAAAATGAACTCTGGTTGTCCTCACTGCTCATGATACACTAATTATAATTCATTAGCATGCTAAAAGATGCTCCCACCAGCACCATGACAGTTTACAGATGCCATGGCAATGTCAGGAAGTTACCCTATATGGTCTAAAAAGGGGAGGAACCCTCGGTTCCGAGAATTGCCCACCCCTTTTCCAGAAAACTCATCAATAATCCACACCTTGTTTAGCATACAATCAAGAAATAACTATAAGTATAGTCAGTCCGGCAGCCCATGCCACTGCTATGCCTATGGAGTGGCCACTCTTTTATTCCTTTTTTTTTTAAATAAACTTACCTTCACTTTATGGACTCGCAGGGAATTCTTTCCTTTTTTTTTCTTTTTTTTACATTCAGAATTTTTATTTTAAAACAAAGAATCAGAGTAACATTTATAATAGAAAATCCATATGGAAATATTCACAATCTTCTCAGTGAGAAATGGGAAAACAACTTCCCTGCCTTACTGCCATCCTACTGTTTGAGGAGCCAGAAGTTGACTTGAAGTTGCAAGGTCACCTTTTCCAGCTAAACCCCACTCCATAGCTATGTGTACTTTTTTTTTTTTTTTTTTTTTGAGACGGAATCTCGCACTCTGGCCTGGGCTAGGATGCAATGGTGCGATCTTGGCTCACTGCAACCTCTGCGTCCTGGATTCACGTGATTCTCCTGCCTCAGCCTCCCCAGTAGCTGGGATTACAGGGGCCCACCACCACGCCTGGCTAAGAATTCTTTCTTTCTTACACACGATCCAAGAATCCTCTCTTGGAGTCTGGATGGGACACCTTTCTGGTAACAGTTGCAGTGAGCTGAGATCGTGCCACTGCACTCCAGCCTGGGTGACAGAGACCCCGTCTCAAAAAAAAAAAAAAAAAAATCGAAGTGTGATTCTGAGCCTCTTTGAAAATACTGCTTAGGATAGCTGGTGTGGCCCACTCCCATAATCCCATCACTTTGGGAGGCCTAGGCAGGAGGATCCCTTGAGCCCAGGAGTTCAAGACCAGACTGGGCAACATAGTAAGACCCTGTCTCTCTACAAAATAAAATTAGCTGGGCATGGTAGCACACACCTGTGCTCCTAGCTACTTGGGAGGCTTAGGATCTGCTTGAGCTGGGGAGGTCGAGGCTGCAGTGAGGCATGATCATACCACTGCACTCCAGCCTGGGGGACAAAGGGAGACCCTGCCTCAGAGAGAGACAGATAAATTATACTGCTTAAATTCATCTCAAGTCGCTCTAACTCACAACAAATGCTTACCCTGGCAGAGAACGTGTGATTTTGAGGTTGCTTTCACACATACCTGCTAGTGTCCACTAGGTCTCCACTTCTTACCGTGAGGCTGGGTTTCGCGTTCTGGTTCCAGGCTGTCCCCCCACTGCCTGCCCCTGCCCCGAATCGCAGGTTTTGCCGCAATGGCAAGTCCCAACTTGGCCAACAGGGGGCGCCCGCCCGAACCGCCAGGACCGAGACTCGCGAGCTTCCGGGCCCAGTTCCTCAGATTCAGCGCGGGGGAGAGCTGCGGGCCCCGCCGGGGGAGCCCAGGGGGCCTTCGCAGAGGATCTGGAGGCCTTTCAGAAAGGAAGCCAGGTGCAGGGACGACCCGAAGCCCGGACCCCAGCCCCGGCGCTGCAACAGGCCCGCCCTCCCTGCCTTGGCCCTTCCCTCTTACTATTTTTATTTTGAGCGAGAGTCTCGCTGTGTCACCCAGGCTGGTCTCGAACTCCCCCTCCCAAAGTGCTGGGATCACAGGCGTGAGCCACCGCGCCCGCTGGCTCCCGATCTTCCGCGGGGCCCAGACGCCAAGGTCCCGGCTCTCCATTCGAAAGCGGAGTCCCCCTCTCCGGAGTCGAATGGAATCCCCGCTTCCCGGCTTCCCGCTCCTGAGGCTTAGTCCCCGCCTCTCCCCGAGGGGCTCAGCCCCGCTGTTTCCTCCAGAGGCGGATCCCGCAGTTTTCCCCCCAGAAAAGGAATTCAGCATTTTTTATCCTAGGTCTAACCCGGCCTTCCGCTCCAAGACTAAGTGATGGTCTACGCCGCCGGCGGCCGAATCCCCACCCGCCCTACCAGAGGCTAAGCCCCCACCTCGCGCTTAAGGGAACGAGTCCCGATCTGTCGCCGTAGTGCCGCCCCAGGCTGCCGGCCGCCGAGTCCCCGTTCCCTCCGCACCCGCCACCCCGCGTAGGCTGACTCCCCGCTTGCCGCCCCAAACCGAAGTCCCAATTTTTAGCTTCAGTGGCCTCAGAGACCTGACTTTTCCAAGCTTCCATAGGAAGGTGAGGATGGAGAGCATCTGGCATCCGGAGCCCCTGTCCCTCGGCACAGCCCCGAGGCCTCCGGGGGGTCGGGGGAAAGGGTTCGGGGACCGCAGGGGCGATGAAGCCCCAAACCCTGAGCCATTCTCCGTGCTTCTGGCCTTAGAGGGACTTGCGCACACATGGCTGAGAATATTAACCAGAAAGGTGTTACTGATACCAGAAAGGGGTCCCGATCCAGACCCCAAGAGAGAGTTCTTGGACCTTGGGCAAAAATTCCAGGCGATTCCATAGAGTAAAGTGAAAGCAAGTTTATTAAGAAAGCAAAGGAATAAAGAAGGGCTACTCCATAGGCAGAGCACCAGCGTGGGCTGCTCAACTGATTGTAGTTACTTCCTGACTATATGCCAAACAAGGGGTGGATTATTCAGGAGTTTTCCAGGAAAGGGGTGGGCAGTTCCTGGAACTGAAGGTTCTTCCCCCTCTTTTAGACCATATAGGGTAACTTCTGGACATTACCATGGCATTTGTAAACTGTCATGGTGCAAAAAAAAAAAAAAAAAAAAAAAAAAAAAAAGACACTTTTATCATGCTAAAATATTATAATTAGCATATAATGAGCAGTGAGGACGATCAGAGGTCACTTTCCTGGCCATCTTGGTTGTGGTGGTTTTGGGCAGGCTTCTTTATGGCATGCTGTTTTATCAGCAAGGTGTTTGGTCTTTTTGTTTGTTCATTCTTTTTTTTTTTTTTCTTTTTTTTTTTTTTTTGAGACGGAGCTGTCACCCAGGCTGGAGTGCAGTGGCATGATCTTGGCTCACTGCAACCTCCGCCTCTCGGGTTCAAGCGATTCTCATGCCTCAGCCTCCCAAGTAGGTGGGACTATAGGCGCGTACCTCCACACCTGGTTAATTTTTGATTTTTAGTAGAGACAGGGTTTCACCATGTTGGCCAGACTGGTCTCGAACTCCTGACCTCAGGTGATCCACCCACTTCGGCCTCCCAAAGTGCTGACATTACAGGTGTGAGCCACCACTCTGGGCTAGTACCTTGTGCCTACCTCCTGTCTCATCCTGTGATTTAGAATGCCTAACCTCCTGGAAATAAAACCCAGTAGGTTTCAGCCTTATTTTACCCAGCCCCTATTCAACCAGTTGCTCTGGTTCAAATGCCTCTGACATTACCAAAAAGGAAAATGTAAGCTGTAATCACAGTCAGCACCAAATTCAAAAAACTTAATGAAACAGTCACCTGTGAAAACCAGAGACAGATGTGTGAATATACTAAAAAACACAGAATTGTTCACTTTAAAAGGGTAAATTTTGTAGTATGGTCATTATACCTCCATGAAGCTGTTCTTAAACAAAAAAGACTAGTTAGACCTCAGGTTTTCCCACTTCAGCAGATTCAAAGTTGGCTCTTTAAGATGCTGGCATGGTGGAAAGCACTGGGCTGAGGGGTCTTAGACACAGCCAAGGGCAAGATGAGAACCCATATGAAAACAAGAGAACCGGGTGAAAATTCGCCTCCTGATGAGCGGCACTCCGAGCCACCTTCTCTTCCTCAGCTCCCACACTGGCAGCCAAGGTGTGTTCTCTGGGAAAATGGGAAGATTTTTCTCTGGGAATTCTGCCCTGCCCAGAAGAAAAGGCCCATAAACACTGGGAGTGGGAATCTCTTATCCCTGCCTCATCACCCTACAGCAGTGGGTCTCAAACTTGAGGGACACCCCCCACCCCTGCCGCACCTTCTCCTGGTACATTTAACAGTGCCTGGAGATGCTGTGGGTTATCTCACCTGGCAGCAAGTGGGTGTTACAGGTATCTATCACACAGAGGCCAAGGATGCTGCTGAACATCTTACAACTCAAAAGACAGCTCTCACACAACGAAGAAATAACTGGTCCAAAATATCACTAATGCTGAGATTGAGAAACACTGTCCTGAAGTGAGGCCCACCCATCAGCAAGGCCTGCCCACATGCAGAATGCTTCCACATAGCTTTTCAGCATCTCACAATGAAATATGAGCAGATACCCAAGTGCCCCCAAACAATAAGACAAAGATTAGAAGAGTGATGACTTAAAAGAGTTTGCCCAAGTGACAGGGAGACCAATGTTGTCCCTGACACATGCATCTCAAAGTTGAAGTCTCCCTGCATCCATTCCCACTCCCTTTGCCAAGGTCAAAGCTCACTGAGCAGTGGTCCAACCACAGGACTGCTGGTTCCCAAGCAATCTTAAAAAAGGGGGACTCGCCGGCTCAGTGGAGGTCTTCTCCACTCCAAACTGTATGCATGAATACGCTGACATTCTAGGATATCAGATGAGCTGAATCTTGCTAGGGGGAGTGAGCTCTAGAAACAAATAGTATGTAGAATTCAAAACGTCCAAGGAGAGGGGTTCAGGAGGTATTTCCTATGGCAAAAGTGGCTGAGAAACTTAAAGCAATTAAGTTGTCTCTGCTGGGGACTTTGCTCTCCTGGGCTCTGCTACCACAACACCAGGTTATCTCCAAAGGGTTGGTGATGAGCGATCGCACATCATAGCCTGGCTTAGTGCTGCTCTGTGGAATAGAAAGGAAGCCCTAGAGCCCAGTACAATAGAGAGAATACAGAAGAGGCTGGAGATGGGGCAGCTGACAAGGCGAGGGCCACATCTCTACCACCATGTGGCCATACCTTCGTGAGGCAGTGAAGTAAGGAACTTTGCAGCAGGTGCATTATGGAGCAGAAGAAAGGGGCAGGCTCATTCGTGCCTGGCAAAAGTGGGGCCCAGACGCACTGCAGGCCTAGGCACTGAGGCTGGGAGTAAAGTGATATGAGCAGGAATCCCACAGAGCGCTCTCCTAACTCTTCAGGGCTTTGGGGTGTTCTGGTTATGGTCATATTATCTCACTCAGTCCCCAAAGGGCTCTTGCAGGAGTTGTAGCAGAATTACCTCCACCCAGCAGATGAAAAAACGGAGGCAGAGAAAGCTTCAATAACTTGCTTATGGTAGTGTGGGGTGAAGAGGGGCTTGTCACCCATCTGATTTCAGCTGACACCTAAAAATGGGGTGTCCGATTTCAGCCGACATCTGAAAATGGGGGTTGACTTTGTTTAACACTTTTGCTTTGAGGAGCATTCCAGTTGTCCTTATCCCGTATGGGCAGAAGGAACAGAGCCCCTGAATCTAGGCTCCCTACTTTCTTTCCCTGACTCTGCCTCCTGGGGTGGTGGGGGAGAAGCAGACGAATAAAAAAACTATGACCCATAGTCACCAGCTGGCTGCAGTTCTCCTTGTGGGTTGTGTAGACCGTGCCTCTTAGTCTGTCTGGCTTATATCTGGCAGTAATCCTCCCCTGCCTTTGGAGTAATGGGGGGCCCTCAGGTCCCAGATACCTGGATGGGTCCAACTTCCTGCCTAAGAGTCTGAGATGGCAGAGACAACCTCAGCAGTTTCTCGAAAACAGGACCCTTCTGCCCCACCTTCAGTGCTGATCAAGAAAGGTCAAGGAACCAAGACTCTGACCAAACAAACTTAGAAGCACTGTTCATATTACACAACCCAAAGCTTTCAGGGACACACCGCTACCGTCCAGAATCCTATGGCCTCTCTCCCACCCTGTGCCACAAACTACCCCAGCACTGAGCTCATTGGTGTGGGTTCGTCGGTGGAGGGCAGCATCCTTGAGATAGCGCCAGCTCACGTTATCCAGCTAGGGTGTTAGCTGGCGTAACTGGATCCTCTCCATTGTGCCGGTTTACAACATTCTGTGAGCAACACTGGATGTTTTGTAAGCAGATACCCACAGCTAATTATATATATATATGTATATACTTCTAATTGGAGAGATAAATTAACAAGATGGCCCAAGAAGCTTCCCCAAATAAGGGCTTTGGGGACAAAAGCACCCCTGGATTTGAACGCCCTGTGACTTTTGGTGGAGACTGCACATGTTATTTTTGTTGTTGTCGTATTGGGTCCTGGGGTTTCATTTTCTCTGAGCAAGCCACATCCATGAAAGAGAATTAGCACAGAGTTCACCCTCCTCAGCTCCAGCAATAGGGACATTCACTATCCTGATAACATTAGGGCACAACACTCTGATATTATTAATTTTCAGAATAATGTTTGAGTTGCATGTCCAATAAATGTTACTCAAATAGTATTAGCTAAAGTATTGTGTTAAGAAGAATAAAGAAAAAGAAAAGGAATATTTCACAAAAAGTTAAAAACACATTTTTGTGTCACTTTTTTTTTTTCTTAAAAGTTGCAAATGTGTGAAATCAAGAGGTTTCCAGTTACGGACATGTCAAGACCACCATGAAGAAAAGGCAAATCTTGATGAGGCAAAAACCAAGGGCAGAGCAGAGAGGGAGTCTTCCCAGAGGCTGGAGTGCTCTGCTCAGACACCACACCCCACCTGGCAGTTTGCTAGGGTTATCGCTCTGCTAGGAAACATCATTCCAAGTCATATTGTAAAATGCTGGGTGGGCAGTGTGCCCAGGGGTCTGCCACATGTCCTGAAGTCAGCAGTCTTCATAGTTGTGCCTCAGGCAGGGGGGATAGTGGGAGCAAAGACAAAGAGAAGTTCTAGTACCTCGAATGAGAGCAAGTCACATCAGTGGGTAGGAATAGCTGCACTGAAAGAGAGAGGCAGAGGGGGCTGGAGGGTGTTGGAGCTCTCCGGGGCCTTGGATGGCACATTAGAGAGTCTGGGTTTTACCCCTAGGCCATGGAGTCCCAGCGAAGGGTTTTAAGTAGAGGGGAGATGAAGTCAGACCTCTGCTCTGGGGGCTGCCTTAGCTGCCATGCAAGAGAGAAACTGAAGGGCAGGGCCAGCAGCCCGGTGCCCAGGTAGGAGGCAAACACGGGGACCTTTGGAAAGGAGGATATGGTGTGGTCCAGGTTTTTCCCAAGAGGTCAGAAGAGTGTAGGGAATAAAAGCCTGGGCTCTGGAGTAAGAACAGTCAACAGGGCTGAATCCTGTCTCCAGGGACTGCTGGGACACATCACATCTAAGCCTCCATTTTTTCATCTGTAAAGAAAGATAAGACAATCTGCCTCAAATGGCTGTTGTGATGATTCAATAAGTCATTTAAAGGGGTTGGCAAGTTCCTGGCAGAAAGGCAGTGACAGGTAACTCTCAGCTGTGGCTGTCTTGAAGGGTGGGCTTCCTGAGTGTGCAGCCTGCGCGTGGCTGCTCATGGCTCCACACTCAGAAGCGCCCTGCACTTGGTCTAATACTGTGCTGAAAAAGTGAAAGTGAAATTCTTTTTTTTTTTTTGAGACGGAGTTTCGCTCTGTCGCCCAGGCTGGAGTGCAATGGCGTGATCTTGGCTTACTGCAACCTCCATCTCCCGGGTTCAAGGGATTCTCCTGCCTCAGCCTCCCGAGTAGCTAGGATTACAGGCACATCCACCCGGCTAATTTTTGTATTTTTAGTAGAGATGGGGTTTCACCATCTTGGCCAGGCTGGTCTCGAACTCTTGACCTTTAGTGATCCACCTGCCTCGGCCTCCCAAAGTGCTGGGATGAGAGGCGTGAGCCACCGCGTCCAGCCTATAGTGAAATTCTTAAGAATTTTATCTTTTGGGCTGGACATGGTGGTTCACGCCTGTCATCCCAACACTTTGGGAGGCTGAGGCAGGAGTACTGCATAAGCTAAAGAGTTCACGATCAGCCTGGGCAACACGGTGAGACCCATCTCTAAAAAAAAAAAGTTAATTGGGCCAGGTGTGGTGGCTCACGCCTGTAATCACATCACTTTGGGAAGCCGACGTGGGCAGATCATTAGAGGCCAGGAGTTCGAGACTAGCCTGGCCAACATGGTGAAACCCCATCTCTACTAAAAATACAAAAATTAGCCAGGCATGGTGGCACACGCCTGTAATCCCAGCTACCTGGGAGGCTGAGGCAAGAGAATTGCTTGAACCCGGGAGGCAGAAGTTGCAGTGAGCCGAGATCATGCCACTGAATTCCAGCCTGGGTGACAGAGTGAGACTCTATCTCAAAAATAAAAAATAATTTTAAAAAATTAAAAATTAAGGCTGGGCTTAGTGGCTCACACCTGTAATCCTATCACTTTGGGAGGCCAAGGTGGATGGATCACTTGAGGTCAGGAGTTTGAGACCAGCCTGATCAACATGGTGAAACCCCATCTCTATTAAAAATACAAAATTAGCCAGGCATGGTGGCACACTCCTGTAATCCTAGCTACTTAGGAGGCTGAGGCAAGAGAATCACTTGAACCTGGGAGGCAGAGGTTGCAGTGAGCCAGGATCACGCCACTGCACTCCAGTCTGGGTGACAGAGCAAAACTCTGTTTCAAAAACAACAACAAAAAAAAAAAATTAGCTGGGCATAGTGGTGCTTTTTTCCGGCCCCAGCTACTTGGGAGGCTGAAGCAGGAGGATGATTTGAGTCCAGGATGTTGAGGCTGCTGTGAACCATGTTCATGCCATTGCATTATAGCCTGAGCCTGTGAAGAAGAAGAAGGAAGAAGGAAGAAGGAGAAGGAGGAGGAGGAGAGAAGGAGAAGGAGGAGGGGGGGAAGTCTGATGGGACAATGGGGTGCGTACATGAGCAGAGGAGATAGGAACATATGCCGCCCTATTTGCGTATCCCATATATGATGCCCCATGAGCACATAATTCCAGTGGGCCCACGACGCATGGGAGTTTAGCAAGACTCAAAGCCAGTACAAGGCAGGGGTGTAATATCTGTGGTTAAATATGTAGGAATGCTTCCAGCCCAGAGGGGCTACACTTCCCATTTAATCCAGAACTTGCTTCAAACACTAAAAGAAGGCAGTGGTGTTCTAAGAAGCATGACAACTAAGGGACCCTATCCTATTCTTTTTCATTCAAGTTACTTCCCTGGATTAGCCAACCACGTAGGCTGACAATAATGACCCAGAAGAAAAGGAAAAGATAGAGAAACCCATAATTCCTTTTTTTTCCCAGTTCTTTTTCACTCATCAGTAAGCCAAAGGCAGGAAACATTGGTAGAATATGCACATACCAAGACGTGAAGTAAAACCATTGAGTTGGCTTTGTGCAGCATTTCTACAGTCCTGATAAGCCTGAAATCCTGCACATATACAAGCTACAAAATACAAATTGTGTCATTTCAGTGATTCCACATAGGAGTTAAGTACTCTTATACTTGCACTGAAACCTGTTATTGCTCGATATACAGATGAACAGTGGGATCCATGCAAATAATTTAAAATTTTGAGTTTTCTCAGAATGACGTTAAATAGTAGAAAGAGAAAGGCTTTGTATTTTAGTATCTTTAACTGTTCATTTTTCTTGCTTTTTGGACAAGGGACCCCACATTTTCATTTTCCACTGGGCCCTGCAAATTATGTAGGCCGCTCTGCTGCTTTTAATATTAACCCTCGGGCGGGGGGTGAGTGAAGACTGGGGAAAAGGCAGTCGAATCCTAATAGTCATTGGAGGCTAGAAGGACAGACATGTTATAGAATCCTTGCATTTGGTTCAGAGATACACCTTGGATTCTATGTCCAAGCAGATGGGCCAGCCTAGGGGTGCTCAGGCCTGTCCCACTCTCCTCTTGGACCTTGTCTCCCCCTTGGTCTAAGTGAGCATCAGCATCCCTGCTCCCACCTCCCCATGCCCTTCATCCCTACCAGCCTAGCTCCCTCAGTTCCCTCCCCAGCCTATGCAGGAGGACGAGCAGCTGCCTTTCTAGAAAAGGCAACATTAGGCCTGGTTCCCTAACAGCAGAGCCTGAGACGGGGCAGGCGGGGGTGGAGGGTGCTCTCAGGAGAAGAGGCAAGAAGCAGGACAGGGCAGGAGAAGGGGATGAGCAGAGACCCCACTGGAGTCCAGCTTCTGGCTCATCTCACAGGAAGCTCTGGGATGTGAATGACATCAATAAGTTGTTCCCATTTTTGACAGAGGCCGGGCTGTCATACCTCTTTGTTCATCCATCTGTGGCTGTAGGCTAATCCGGGGATGGTGATGGGATTACCTCAGGGTTCAGCAGCCCCTGCTCGGCCAAAGGCAATTCTCCTCCGTTGAAGGGGTCCGCTATGTGCCTTAGCCCTGGAGGATGGGTGCACTTGCTCTGAGAGGGAATCTGGGCAGATCACTGGCAGTGTCCACTACGGAATCTAACCCTGAACAACAAGGAAACCACAGCCCAGAAGTGACCTTCACAAGAAGGCACTTGGGGATTTAATGGTCAGCCCAAGTCAAAGCCACATATCCCAGCTTCCAGACCCAGACTCAATTGATCTCTTGTCACAGACCTGCCCAGGAGACACAAGGGCTCCGCGTTTTTTCATTTTCTTCATCTGACACATGGGAGTGACAACACTGTCTCACCGGGCTGTTGTGAGAAATAGAGAGGTTGGGGCAAGAGTGCCCCAGGCAGGACCTAGCACAGAGCAGTGTGCAACACACATGCCACGAGGATAATAGTTTTAAGACATCACTGTCGTTTTCTTTCTCACACTCTCTGATGTGAGACCTGCTCCCTCTTGCCTGAATGTGTATTCATCTCAGGAAGCATTGGAATTGATCTAGGTGGCGTGCAAAGAAAAAAGCAAAATACTCTGTGTTCAGTATCTGACTTCCAAACTTGGATTTTTGAATTCCTTAGAAATAATTGTGGAAAGCAGGGTTTGTTGTGAGAGAGAAGAAATCTGCCAATTCCTAGATCACTCCTTCAGACACCAAGGGCTAAACCCAGCCACCAGACAGCAAAAACACATCAGCCCCTGAGGACAAGGGTCTCTGTTTCATTTGCTGATGAATCCCCAGAGCCGAGAACTGACTCTGACCCCAGTGGGTGCTCATTTTTATCTGTGAGGAGAAAAGTGGAGTTATCGACTGTGTGGACAGTCAGGTACAAGGGAATTTGATAGTCCTATCTGGAGGGAATTTCTCTCCGGAGATGAAGGTGTTGTAGAAAGCCTTTCTCCTCTGGCAACAGAGAACAACAAGAGCAGGGTAAAGGCAGGAGGCGGAGCTTGCAGTGAGCCGAGATCGCGCCACTGCACTCCAGCCTGGGCGACAGAGCCAGACGCTGTCTCAAAAAAAAAAAAAAAAAAAAAAAAGAGCAGGGTAAAGGGCTGCTGGGGGTCCTCACTCATCAGGGGAGAGCGCTTGGGGCACCCCCAGCAGAAACCTTACTCACCAGTCCTCTGGGCCACGCTGTCCTGTGGCTGCACAGCTGCCCGTGCTGCTTCTCACATGGACCGGGGTCCTGCACTGGCATGGCCCTGGTGGGGAGAGGGATTTGCGGCTGCAGTCCTGCAGTATGGATGCCAGAGAATGCAACTGAGATCCTCCCACTGCCCTCATGCCCCGGGGACTGGGGCGGCCCTGCAGGAACCAGTTGGGTCGGAGATCAAGGTGTGGGACAAAGAGAAAAGCTTCAAAGCTTGAGATGAACCGTTGCACGTGCATTTTAGAGGTAGCTCCTTTGCCCCTTCCCTCGCCAAGCTTGCATGAGGACAGGCACTCCTACTCCTGACCCCTGAGAAAGTACATGGGCATGATCAGAGGCTAGGTCTGTCCTTGACACCCACAGGAGACTTGCCCTGGGGAAGGCTTTTTATTCTGTTGTGTCATAGAATCCTTTGGCATCCTGGTAAGGTCCGTAGACCCCTTTTTATATTTTTTTTTATTTTTGAGACAGAGTCTCACTCTATCACCCAGGGAGTGCAGTGGTGCAATCTCAGCTCACTGCAACCTCCACCTCCTGGGTCAAGCAATTCTGCCTCAGCCTCCTGAGTAGCTGGGACTACAGACACATCCCACCACGCCCGGCTAATTTTTGCATTTTTAGTAGAGATGGGGTTTCACCATGTTGGCCAGACTGGTCCGGAACTCCCAACCCTAGGTGATCCGTCTGCCTTGGCCTCCCAAAATTCTGGGATTACAGGCGTGAACCACCACGCCCAGCCACAGACCGCTTTTCAGAACATAGACATTAAATCCATAAAATAAAACACTAGGATTACAAAGGAGACCAATGATCCTGAAATAGGCATCAAAATCACTTTAAATATCTTTCATATAATGACAATATATGCTTCCTAATTAAATAACAAGATTTCATGGCAGGTCTCTAACTATCATAATTTTGAAGTTGTGATAACATGTAAGATATTTTGAGACATCCCCAGTGGTTTAATTGGGAAAAAAAATAACTGTGACTTTTGCTGAGACAAAAATCACATCTTTGCTTACATTCATGATTGAGGGAAATGCTAAATCGCAGTTAAGGCTAGGAAAAGTGAAAGTGTAGTATTTTCTCCATCACTATTCACAAACCCACAGAATTCCATCCACAGCTCTGGGGGTTCCAGGGACTCCAGATTAAGAACTCCACACTCTGAGACCTTATGACTGCCTTCCAGAGGGTCCCTCTGACACTTTAGTGATGGTTTTCAAAGCAGCCAAATCTGTGCCTCCCTGAAGCCAGGGAGGAAAAGCTGCTGAGGGAGGGGGCGGGGGCTGAGCGGGAACATTCATCTGTGTGGGCTCAGGACGCCTGCAGCAGGATCCACAGTGCAGGCTCCCAGGGCCTGGCACAGACTGACTGATTCCAACGCCCAGTGCCACTCCTGGGAGTATGCATTTTATTTTTAAAAATTTATTATTATTATTTTTCTTTTTGTGGAGATGGGGTCTCACTACGTTGCACAGGCTGGTCTTGAGCTCTTGGGCTCAAGCAATCCTCCTGCCTCTGCCTTCCTAAGTGCTGAGATTACAGGTGTGAACCACCACATGCCAGAATCTGCATTTTAAACAGAAGCCCAAGTAATAACTTAAACAAACATTCTAGAATTTCCCTGGTGCTTTGTCCCAATCAGGGACTCAAGATAGTGGGAGAGGGCCTGGGATGCTCCTCACACCTCCTCTGGCTAGAGTGCCAGCGGCATCATTGCCAGGAGATAAGCCTGCAGCTCCTGGCCCCTCCAGGGCCCCTCATGTATAACTGATGCCTGAAACATGAGGCCATGCTGCCTCTTTGCAGGGAAACCTGAGAAGAGGAGTGTGTGGCCGGATTGATGGGCCGGGAACTCGTCGCCTTCCTTCACCCGTCTCTCTCCCCCAAACTTCACCCACCTCCACATTCAATCTCAAACCAAGAAGCCCCGCCTGCTGTCAGGTCTAGGAAGGGAGGCCAGCCACCATGAGGGCAGGAAAGCAGCCCAGGCTGAAGGCGTGCATACAGGAGCACGCTGCGTGAGCCTGTGCAGGACCCCAGCAGTGCTGCTGACCATGAGCCACCAGGTAAAGGGCCTGAAAGAGGAAGGTGAGTCCACGTCCTGATCCTGCGGGGCCCGCCCACAGGGTTCCTGGGCAGCAGCAGGGGATGGGGGAAGCACATATGGTGTTCAGAGGCATAGGGAGGAGCTGGGTTTGAGTCCAGGGCCTGTCCCCTGTGCGCTGAGCGACCTCGGCTGGTTATTCAACCTCTCTGATCCTCACGCATGAGATGGGGGTAGTCATCACCTCCTTGCAGGGCTACTGGAAGGATTCAAGACAACCTGTGCACAGCACCTGTGTTCAGGCCAGCACTGGAGACTGTCACGGCCGATGCATGCTCCTCAGAGCCTGCTGGGGCGTCTCAGCCACCTATTGTCTCGGTTAGGGTTGCCTGTTCCGAGCAAGCCCCTCAGCAGATTTCTATCTGTCTCTGTCTCTGTGCAGGGCAGGGGGTGGGGGATGTTCTGACCTCATGACTGACAGTATCAGACAAATGTGACAGGCAGGGGACTCTATAATTTGCTGAGTAAAATCATTGGAGCTGGGTCCCAGTTTGAGGCAGCCACAAATCAGCTGAGGGGTCCCACAGTGACCGGGGGTCTGCAGGGAGGGGGACTCACCAGAGGCCAGCCATTTGTCAGCAATCCTGTCTCTTACAGCACGAGGCGGAGTGAAAGGGCGGGTGAAGAGCGGCTCTCCACACACAGGTGAGATGGGGTGGTGGGGTCTCTGGGGAGCCTGCAGTGCCTGGGTGCCCTCTGCTTAGCCCAACAGTCCAGCCACCCATCCAACATTCTCCTTCATCTCCTTCCCTCTCATTCAACACCCTGCATGGAGCCTTCCTGGGAGGCAAGGTGTTTAACATGGGAGGGGGCAGAGTACCACTCAGAGAAGGTGCTGCTCAGCCCTCGGTGTCAGGGGAGACTCCCAGGGTTAGTGACACTCTGAGCTGAGCCTTGGGAAGCAGTGAACATTCACCAGACAGAGGGCAGGGAAGCTCGGTGCAGGCTTCTGGCGGGTGGTGTGGCCAGATTCACATCCAGGCCCCCGGACTCTAGGAGGAACACTCTTAACCTCCAAAAAGTAGTAGGCATAATGGGTGCTCCATCACCTTCCCACTGGGAATGTGACCACAGCTCTCCCGTGAGCCGGTGAGGGAGCCAACTTGCTCCAGGAGAAGTGGGAGAGCCCAAGGAAGCCATAGGCGGGAGAGAAAACCCTTGGTTGAGACTGAGGGTTCAGGGGAGAGGGGCAGAAGCCACACTCACAGGCTGGGCATCTTCATGTCACAAAATATTATGGATGCGATGCTGTTTTCTCCCCCTTCACGTCCCAGGCAGGGCTGGGTCCTGCGCCCCACACTAGTAGGCAAGAAACCAGAATCTTGGGGAGTGATGGGGTTCTGGGGGGTTGGAAGAGATCTCCTTCCTCCCCCATTCTGGGAGGGAGGGCCCTTTCCACTCCCTCCTGTGGGAGGGCCCTGTCCTGGCCCCACTCTGGCCAGTAGGGAGCTGGCCCCAGGAGCCACTTCATCTGCCCTTTCCGCTCCTGTGACCCGCTGCTGTCTGGTTGTCGGGAGCCTGAGCTTCAGTGAGGCCGCTGTGTTACAAGGGGAGAGACCCAGGAGCAGGAGGCAAGGAAGAGCTGGGCAGAGGCTGGCAGGGGGTGCAGCCATGGCATCTCAACAGCCCTTCCTGGCCCCTATCCCGGAACTTGCCTCAGCCACTGTCCCTTCTTCCTACCCCACCTGCCTGCCTCATCCACTCTTTATCTCAATCCAAAGATGAAGGAGCAAATGTGAGAAAGTTCTATGCCCCAGGGTGGCCAGACGAGAAACCTTCCTCCCGGGGGTCGGGCCACGGTGCTCCCGTAGTGACCACTGCCTGTAGGATGCTCAGGCTGGTTCTCCACACCCCACTCCCCTCGTAGTCATCCAGATGCCGTCCCTTCCGCACCCAGCCTGGCCTCCCTCTGCCTCTGCTGCAGGGCTGTGCTGTGCGGGACTCCCCTGTGAGCAGTAGTCCTTAGTAGGACTGAAATGGAAGACCATTTTGCCTACAACACAAACCCTTTCCTACTGAAATATTCCACGTTGCCGCTGCCGTTTTCCCTTTCCCATAGAACACAGGAAATTGGTCAGAATTTTCACTTCACAGATCTAAGTGGTGAAGGGGTGCAGTAAAGTTAAACATTGGGAATATATTGAATTAACTGAAACCCAGCCCCATGAAGGTTTCCATTTTAAATCTCCTCTGGAGTCACCTGCGACGGGACCTGATATTCTCATCCTTCCCTTTATACTCTACCAGGAGGGAATAAAAGTTTAAGAATACAATGTTCTTTTCTCAGAATAGCTACAGTTTGTTACTGTGTTCCTTGAAAAGAAGGATGAGAACTCTCCCTCCTCCTGTATCATTTGGTAAGTGCACTGAACTGTTGAGATCACGGGACTGGAGGGCTGCCGCAGCCTCTCCTCGGCCTGTGTTTTGCACTGTGAATTCTCTGACCGAGTCAGGTGCTACATAGGAGGAGGCCTGTTACATTTAGGAGAGCGTGTGCTGGGCTTGGAGGCCTTCCTAGCAAGACAGCTGCCTTTCCAGTTCCTAAATTATGCATTATGTGGAGTCTGTTGAAAACTGATTATGAAAGAGAAAAAAACAGCTTATTTTCTGTGTTGAAGAGGTCTGGGGAAGATTGAAGGGCAAATTCTGGCTTGTTTTCCACATTCCATGTGAATTTCGTTCAGTTGGAGAACTAAATTACAGCAGGAATTACAGCTCAGAAAAAAAATTGTAACACCAAATTATATCTACAGTGCTGGGAAGTATGCTTGGTACAGTTCATTACCACAATGAAAACCATTGTATTAGCTGACTGAGGACACAGAGAGAGCTCAGAAGAGGATGCAAACAATGACGTTCCTATTCAGTCCTTTCAAGCAACATAGAGCTGATCTTTATGGGACCCCAGGGAACCCTTCTCCATGATCCCTTGCCTTGATCTCTGCTTCTCTGCCCTTTCTGAGCACTGAACTCAGTCCTAGAGCTCTCTTAGGGGTCATGGCTGTGATAATATTTGTTTTGCTCCGTCCCTTTTGCAACAGGGGGCTACTGCCTTCCAGAGCATTGCGCTGGAGCATTTGTAAGACAAATCATACCTCACTGGCTAACACTGACTAGCTTCCTACCCTGGATAAATTATGCAAAAATAGTCTTTCTTTACGTTGTCTTATCAAAGACTATTTTTCCACAGGGAGTGAGAAGAAGAAAGAGGTTGGGGCAGGAGTGGGCTAAGGAAACCTGCTCTATGATAAATACAGGACAGGTTCTCTTAGCTCACTCCCGCAAATAGCACACAAGACTATTCTTTTCTTTTCTTTTCTTTTTTTTTTTTTTTTTTGAGATGGAGTCTTGCTCTGTTGCCCAGGCTAGAGTACAGTGATGTGATCTCAGCTCACTGCAACCTCTGCCTCCCAAGTTCAAGTGATTCTCCTGCCTCAGCCTCCCAGGTAGCTGGGATTACAGGTGCCTGCCACCACGCCCAGCTAATTTTTTGTATTTTTAGTAGAGACCGGGTTTCACCATCTTGGCCAGGCTGGTCTCAAACTCATACCTCGTGATCCACCCGCCTCAGCCTCCCAAAGTGCTGGGATTACAGGTGTGAGCCTCCGTGCCTGGCCGCAAGACTTTTCAATGCACCTATGCCAGTTATCTCATCAGTCCTGGCAGAAACCTCAGCATTTAAAACCGAGTCTCAAAGACATGGACATGGCCGGGCACAGTGGCTCATGACTGTAATCCCAGCACTTTGGGAGGCTGAGGTGGGGAGATCACTTAAGGTCAATAGTTCAAGACTAGCCTGGTCAACATGGTGAAACCCTGTCTCTACTAAAAATACAAAAATTAGCCAGGCTTGGTGGTGCATGCCTGTAGTCCTAGCTACTTGGGAGGCAGAGGTGAGAGAATCGCTTGAACCTGGGAGGCGGAGGTTGCAGTGAGCCTAGATGGTGCCATTGCACTCCAGCCTGGGCGGCAGAGAGGGACTCTCAAAAAAAAAAAAAAAAAGACATGGAGATTATTAATGATGGCTTCAGACCCATGTTTGGTGCCTCTTTTTGCCTTTAAAATAAGTGAAGCAATCACAGCCAGTATGCTCACAAGACCTTCCTTGTAGCAGCTGCAGAGCAGTGTCACCCTCCCCACATCACCTTCTTCCATGTTGCTAGTGTGACCCTTTGATGTAGACCTTGCCCCAGCAAACATGCTCCATTATCACACCCTTACCCTCCAGATTTCAACCCAGCTCCCTGTGGGCGTGTACCCCTCTCCTCCTGCCTCCCACACCAGAACACACCCGGGACGCAGCTCTGCCTTGGACGCCTATGCCCCAGACTCCCTGGCATTTCTGCTGGGGCCCCTCAATCCCCTGTTTCCTCTGCCTGGAATCCTCCTAACTTGCTACCACAATCACCCCCTCCATTTCTCTACCCACTTCTTCTCTTGCAAACTCCTGTTCATCCTTCAAGATTCAGAGTAGCCCCTAAGTATGTATTAAAGACTTCATGGTAATTATTTTTAATTGAGCTGTAAAATATTCCACATAGTAGATAAATCACAGGTTAATTCATTATTCTATTACTGAATATTTAGGTTATTTCCCATTTTTATAATAGAAATAATGTTGCATTGAAGATTCTTGGGCTTGGGTTGACTCCTACAGGTGGAATTAACAGATCAGAAAGTATTTTTAGGCTGGGCATGGTGGCTTACGCCTGTAATCCCAGCATTTTGGGAGGCCGAGGCAGGCGGATTAATTAAGGTCAGGAGTTTGAGACCAGCCTGGCCAACATGGCAAAACCCCTTCTCTGCTAAAAATACAATAATTAGGCAGGTGTGGTGGCACACACCTGTAATCCCAGCTGCTCGGGAGGCTGAGGCACAAGAATCTCTTGAATCTGGGAGGTTGAGGTTGCAGTGAGCCCAGATTGCACCACTGCCCTCCAGACTGGGCGACAGAGCAAGACTCTGTCTCAAAACCAAAAAAAAAAAAAGAAAGAAAGAAAAAAAAGAAAAGAAAAAAGAAAGTATTTTAAAGCTCTTGTTACATGTTGCCAAACTGCATAAAGAGTTGCTTTACAATTTATATTGCGACCAGTAATAAATATGCATTTTAACAAGTCTCATTAGTCCTGGATAAAAAATTTTAAAAACGTAATACTATAAACAAGACAGGAAATCCCATTATTGACTTATTTTAAATTTCCTTTGATAACTAGTAAAACTGCATTTTCCGCCGTTTCCTAATTGCATTTCCCCATTAGTAACTTACCTGTTCATAAGTTTTGCTTAACGGTCTTTGTGTCCTCCCCCATATTGATATGTGAGTTCTTTCCATTAGTCTCATGTTTGATTAAAAAATTTTCTTATTTGAAAAAAACTTCAGAGTAAATGTTGGAGAGGAGAATTTTTTTCCTCTACCTTCCTAGGTTCAGTGACTACAGGCTCTGTAAATCAAACTGACAAAAGACAGATCAACAAGAGGGGAAAAAAGGATTGAATTACATATGTACAAATGAGAGTTCACAAAGAAGATGACTCAAGGAGGTGGTTAGAATTTGGGGCTTATATACTATCTTAGAGGTATATATCATCTTAAAGGGTGATAGAGTGTGGAGAAGAAGCTTGACAAAGGAAAAGCGTTTTGGGGCTTCTGGGTAAGTTATGGAAGGTGACTAGGAAACGTGTGGTAAATAAGTGTTATTCAGTAAGGTTTGTTAAGCAGGTAAGAGTCTTCTCAGGTGCTAAGAGTTGTCTCTGGAGTAGTTATCTTCCAAGTATAGGAGAGGGAGACCCCTTCCAAATGGAAATATATGTCCTGCTTTTAGTCCAAAAGGGCAGAGGAGCGACATATATCTAATTGCCTTCAGCTTGAAATAATCTTTATGCCGAAGTGGCATATTTTGGGATGGCGTCTTCTAGTCTCCTTCATAAACATCAGTTCTTTGTGAAGCATTTCCAACAATCCCAGCCATAATTTATCACTCCCTTTTTCTTTCTATATTTTTACAGTCTTTTCTCTTTAGTCCACAATTTTTTTTTTTTTTTGACAGAGTCTCGCTCTGTCACCCAGGCTGGAGTCAGTGGCACATCTTGGCTCACTGCAACCTCCGCCTCCCGGGTTCAAGCAATTCTCCTGTCTCAGCCTCCCGAGTAGCTGGGACTACAGGCGAGCACTACCACGCTTGGCTAATTTTTATATTTTTAGTATTTTATACTTAGTATATTATATTTAGTAATATACTTAGTATTTAGTATTTTGTGTTTTTCTTTTTAAAACAAAATACAAGGCCAGGCATGGTGGCACACACCTGTAATCCCAGCACTTTGGGAGGCCAAGGTGGGCGAATCACTTGAGGTCAGGAGTTTGAGACCAGCCTGGCCAACATGGTGAAACCCTGTCTCTACTAAAAATACAAAAATTAGTCAGGCAAGGTGGCATACACCTGTAATCCCAGCTACTCAGGAGGCTGAGGCAGGAGAACTGCTTGAACCTGGGAGGTAGAGGCTGCAGTGAGCCAAGATCTTACCACTGCACTCCAGCCTGGGTGACAGAGTGAGACTCTGTCTCAAAAATAAAATAAAATAAAAACAAAACACATTTATCTAAGTTATTGTCCAAAGCTGGCTCCCTAACACCCCACAACCTGTTGATAAGACAAAACCGATCTATTGCTTATAGCAGGCAAAGCTTTGGCAGTATCTTACAGAGGGGAAGGAAGGCCGGAACTTACTGAGAATTGGAAATTTGATTGAAGGCAGGTCTTTCAAAGTGAGAGCTGGAATGAGACTGGGTGAGAATCACAACATAATAGTCCACAATAAACAGCATGGCCAGGATTTTGAGGTGAGGCATTCAAAGAATCTTAGAGCCCAAATTGAAGAATTGACAGGTCTTTGGGAAAATCCTGTAATGAACAATCAACATTTGCCTGGGTAGGAGATGCCTAGAAAAATAAAGACATGCTCATGAAGCAGAGGCGTAGCACAAAGTCATCTTAATACAGACACTAAGGTATAGCTGGGCTCTCTGTGTCCAGACTCAGTATGAGGGAAGATGGTTTGAGTTCTCAATTTCTCCTTGTGGTCATTCTTCAGCCCAAGCTGAAGGAAAAGCCATCAGTATGTCAATCTAGATATTCACCAGTATTTGAGAGGTCATCATTTCATATCAATTGTCTGTTAACAGTTGTTTCACATCCAGTTTCTGGTGGCAGCTGTTTCAACCTGCATGTCAGTTTTTTTTTTTTTTTTTGAGACAGAGTCTCGCTCTGTCACCCAGGCTGAAGTGCATGGCATGATCTTGGCTCACTGCAACCTCCACCTCCTGGGTTCAAGCGATTCTCATGCCTCAGCCTCCCAAGTAGCTGGGACTACAGGCGCTCGCCACCATGCCTAGCTGATTTTTTTTTTTTTTTTTTTGTATTTTTAGTAGAGACGGGGTTTCACCATGTTGGTTAGGCTGGTCTCGAACTCCTGACCTCAAGTGATCTGCCTGCCTTGGCTTCCCAAAGTGCTGGGATTACAGGCATGAGCCAACGCACCCAGCCAGATTTTCCAGTTCTTTTTAGTGGATAACCCTTGCTGGATGATTTGAATGATGGCAGCAGTGCAGTAGCATTTAAAACTCTGGAGATCCCACATCTGAATGCTGGCACACAGACAAATACTAAGAGAAGGATTGTCATCAGAGTTTGTATAATCTACTTCTCAGCCAGGATCTAAGAGTGCCCTGACTAAACAAGAAAGTAGATCTCATCCCGAATCTAGAGTCCATGTAACCAAATATGAGGTTACTCATCAAATTACCCAATTTCTGATTTCTTTGTTTACTTCCTAGATCTTTTTAGTAATATCAAAGATTTCAGAGAGGTCTGCAGGAATATAAGTACAGCATTCTTCCACTAAAACAGCACACATTCCCCACCTTGGGAGATCAATATCCTATCTAAGGCAGTTCTGTTCTGGACCACCACCCACCCAATCTCATAAACCTCTTGACAAGGGAGTTTTATGGCCTTACTGGCATTGTCTAAATCATCTGCTGTTCTCTCAACCACAGCATGCTACATTTACCCTACTAATCAGATCTCTTGTAAATTATGAAACAAAGGCTGGGTGCAGTGGTTCACACCTGTAATCCCAGCACTTTGGGAGGCCAAGGTGGGAAGATCACATGAGGCCAGGAGTTCAAGGCCAGTCTGGACAACACTGCAAGACTCCATCTCTACAAAAAAATTTAAAAATTAGCCAGGCATGGTGGCGCATACTTGTAGTCCTAGCTATTCAAGAGGCAGAGGCAGGAGGATCACTTGAGGCCAGGAGTTCAAGAGCAGCCTGGGCAATATAATGAGACCCCTGTCTCTACCAAAAAAAAAAAAAAAAAATTTAATTAGACATGCATGGTGGCACACACCTGTAGTTCTAACTACACATGAGGCTGATATGGGAGGATCACTTGAGCTCAGGAGTTTGAGACTACAATGAGTTATGATGACTCCACTACACTTCACTCTGGGTGGTAGAGCAAGATTCTGTCTCAAAAATAAGTAAATACATACATACATAAAGGCATGCATACATACATAAAGTATGAAAAGAAGTGTCTTGAGGGGAGAAGAAAGAAATCTAGAATACCCCTAGGGTACTTAGGATTTCAGTTCTCAAACCAGGGCCCAGTTTTTCTCCTTCTTCAATGAAACGATCTACTGACCTCGTTTTCCTAGAGAACAAATTAATAGATGATATCATAGACAATTCTGAGAGTAGGTTTTAGTTTACAAAGGTAACAAGTTCCTGTCTAGTTTGTGAGTAATAGGAGGCTTCTGTTCCTTATCCAGTATCTGTCACTGGGGGCCATTCAGTCATCTGGTTTTGGCCAGAATACTCCTATGGGATTGTCAAATAATGCTGTAAACTGTTGGTACCATTCATCATGAATAGTTTGGTGTCAAGCAGTTAATTATGTAGTTTTGAGATCACTAAGTAGGTCTAAAGCAAACAAAAGAAGAAGAAGAAGAAAGAAGAAGGAAGAAGAAAGAAGAAGGAAGAAGAAGATGAGGAAGAAGAAGATGAAGATGAAGGAAGAAGAAGACGAGGAAGAAGAAGATGAAGAAGAAGACGAAGATGAAGAAGGAAGAAGAAGAAGAGGAAGAGGAAGAAAGAAAGAAAGAAAGAAAGAAAGAAAGAGAAAGAAAGAAAAAGAAAGAAAGAAAAAGAAAGAAATGAAAGAAAGAAAGAAAAAAAGAAAGAAATGAAAGAAAGAAAGAAAGAAAAGAAAGGGAGGAAAAAATAAAACTAATGTCTTACTTGTAAGATCTTTGAAAGCAGATAGTCTCCAAAAATATACCACTTGTTCCCCAATCCGCTTATAATTCTGTCAGTGAAAGTCTGATCACAAAGACTAGCTCTCACAAAAGGTCCCCAAGTAGTGTTTTATGGAGGCAGGGCCCTTCTAGGACATGATGAAGGTTTTGGATTTCTCCCCACCTGACCTATTGTGGAGTTGCCATCTAAAAAGTCATCCAATGGTTGAGTTCAGTTACCCAGGAAACCAACTGATTTCTTAAAAGGAACTGGAACCGAATGAAACTGGGTAGCTCCTGAAGAAAAATGTGCACCCTAGACAGTTCATGGGTTAATTGTAGCTGGGTACGAAACTCATACCAAGGAATGATTAAGGATGTAAATAGAAATATTAAAAATAGAAGTCTTATAATTTACATAACTAAAGTAGCCTTAAGTCAGGGAGAGGATAGGAGGCAGGTAAAAGAATAGGAAAGAGAAGAATATTGATTATAGAGTAGTAACCTGCAGAGTTGGGCATAAGCTGTAGATCTTGGGCATAAGCTGTCTACATCTGAGGCTGTCTGCTTTGGGAGGTCTCCTAAGAATCTTTAGCTTGAGGTCACCAATAGGAATGGTTTTCTAGTAATTTTAGGATGGTGTATGTCTCTTGAGTTGAAGGACATGATCAACTCTTTAAGAGTTTCACCAGCATGTTAGTCATTACCTAATGGAGTCCTTCCAACTGGGGTTCTAAAATAGTTCTTTGTTGAAGACAAAAACTCTGGAGAGTTTAAGGAAGCTTTGGGGGCAAAACAAATAGTATCTGTAGGTGACACAGACTTAAACTGGTTGAGGGTAACTTATTACTGAAAACTTTCAAAAGTGAAACATTTCATGACAATGAAACTGATGGAAAATTTGGATGCTTCCACAGCATGCAAAAGAAGCAATGAAGGCATTCTAAAAGCTTTGGTCAAAATGTCTATAATGATTAAGCATGTTTTAATAGATAATGTACACTATATCTAATTTATAAAGGTGGATAACCATAATTTTTACAGAGAAAAAATCTTGAAGTATAACATATAATTATCTAAAAACATAATGTACATGACATACCAAGAAAATATCAAACATATAAGAAAAATATATCAAGACTATATGAAGAATATCAAGTAAAAAGATTCAGTAAGTATGGAATAGGTCCTAAACATCTACATTTTAATAAAAGTCCATAGATATGTCTGATGTTCATCTCCAATAGAAAAGCACTGGCCTGAAGGAGGCTAGATTCAAATTAAAGAGGAAACATTGTGTCCAAATAAACATTTTAAATGATAACTGAATTATAACTGATAATTCTACTGTTGTCTAACATCAGGCAGAGCACCACCAGGACTCTAACAAAAGGAAACAGACCATAGACAATGGAGGAATTAACAAATCTCTGGATATAGAACACATAATTGCTGAAATGTTTGAACATTTTACCTACACAAGTTAACCTAGAGAAGGCTAAACATCTCTTCTGATTTGACAAGCTTCCCCCAAAACCCTAACAACAATGTATCAAATAATCCTAATTGTTTCTGGCACCTGTATTTTAAATAAGGTGAAAGAACAAGTCTCTGTGGCCTTCTAGGAGCCCTCTGGGAAATCTCAAAGGTAGTCTTAGGTAAAAAGGTATTCTGAAAGGTATTTAACTTCATTTGAGAGTCAATCTTAAAAACAAACAAAATTGTCTGGAGAGTTGAACACAGGAATAACATTTGGCTACTCATTTGAAAGTGGCAATAAAACATTTAAAATATTTAAAAACAAGCTTAGAAGGTAAGGTGATCACCCACTAAGAACCTTAACTCTTTCATAAGTGAAGAACCTTTATTATCTTAAATAAAATTTCTTTTCTGCAAACTTTCTGCTATTTTCTATTTCCATTCAGGTTTTGTCCTTCACTGTTCTCTTTACCATTCTGGAACAACTAGGCATTTTACTTTAGGACAAAACTATTCTTTTTTTCTTAACAAAAACACGTTTTATTACTTTGCATGCAAAGTTGTACCTCTCTATCAAGACTGATCATAATAGAGTATCATTTAATTATAACTTTTAACCAAAGGATCTTCTGTTTCACAGAACAAACTGGTAGGATGGATAATTGTCAACTGTCACACATCAGCATTTTAGACTAGCAGAGCTCCTGAATGTACACAACACAACTTTCGACAAACACACACATCTTGTATACAGCTTCTCAAAAGGGCAGATATGAACATGTGTGTTAACAGGCCCAAACATATAACTTCTCTGTGGCATGTTTTAAAAAAAGAAGCAAAAGTAAATAAACTTAAAATTATGTTTAGTAATCAATGTTTCAGAATCCTTTCTTACTTAGAAATTAGTGGCCAGGTGTGGTGGCTCATGCCTCTAATCCCAGCACTTTGGGAGGCCAAGGCAGGCGGATCACCCGAGATCGGGGGTTCGAGACGAGGCTGACCAACATGGAGAAACCCCGTCTCTACTAAAAATAGAAAATTAGCTGGGTGTGGTGGAGCATGCCTGTAATCCCAGCTACTCGGGAGGCTGAGGCAGGAGAATTGCTTGAACCCAGGAGGCGGAGGTTGCAGTGAGCCAAGATAGCACCATTGCACTCCAGCCTGGGAAACAAGAGCGAAACTCCATCTCAAAAAAAAAAAAGAAAGAAAAAGAAAGAAATTAGTTAGGCATCTAATCAATATCCATAAACTCAATACCAGTTCAAGGCTTTATAATACCTAAAAATCTTGGGAATTAATTTCCAAGCTGGCATACTACAAAATATAATTACTGTTCACAAAAATGTTCAGAGTAATGAATCATTTTAGTTAAGCACAAATTTAGGTATTTTGTAACCTTCAACATCAAATAGAAGTAATGCTAATATATTTGATCAAGGAACCTATATAAGTCTAGAAACAACATACTCAAGTAGAATAAAAACGTAAGCTAGTCTTTTACTTAATGCTGAAAAACCAAAGAAGGCATAGCTGTTTTTATGAAATTAAACATAATAAATTAGTTCATTTGCCAAATTTTTACCTAATTTCTGGGATTTTTAAAATTTATTTGTGTTTTTTGGTTTTTTGGTTTTGTATTTGTTTAGAAACAGGGTCTTGCTCTGTTACCCAGGCTGGAGTGCACTGGTGCCATCACAGCTCACTTGGGTAATCCCACTCTCTCAGCCTCCCAAGTAGCTAGTACTATCGGCACTTACCACTATCCTGGCTAAATTTTTAGTTTTTTTGTACAGCCAGGATCTCGCTGTGTTGCCCAGGATGGTCCTGAATTCCTAGGTTCAAATTATTCTCCCTCCTCAGCCTCCCAAAGTGCTGGGATTATAGGCACGAGCCACCGTGCCCAGCCTAAGCACTTAATATCTTAATTCAGCCAATTAAATGAGCTCTTTTATTTTGTCGTCATCGTTGTTGTTGTTGATGATTTTTTGACTTTTTTAAAAAATATTTTTCCAGCCAGGCATGGTTGCTTACGTCTGTAATCCCAGCACTTTGGGAGGCCAAGGCGGGCGGATCACTTGAGGTCAGGAGTTTGAGACCAGCCTGGCCAACACGGTGAAACCCTGTCTCTACTGAAAATACAAAAATTAGCCAGGCATGGTGGCGTGTGCCTGTAATCCCAGCTACTCAAGAGGCTGAGGCAGAAGAATCCCTTGAATTTGGGGGGCAGATGTTGCAGTGAGCCGAGAGCACGCCACTGCCCTCCAGCCAAATAGGAAAAATATTTTTCCTATCCTTCTGAAGTTTGCAACTCCTTTATCTTCAGAAAAACTTCTCCTTGAGAGTTTCCTCAGAGCATCTCATTCAGCAATCATTTCATTTTTTAAAAACAGACTTCATTTTTTAGAGCAGTTTTAGGATTGGAGAAAAATTTTGCCGAAATTACAGAGTTTTGGCTGTGTGCAGTGGCTCACGCCTGTAATTCCAACACTTTGGGAGGACGAGTTGCACAGGTCACCTGAGGTCAGCAGTTGGAGACCAGCCTGGCCAACATGGTAAAACCCCGTCTCTACTAAAAATACAAAAATTAGTTGGGCATAGTGGTGCGCACCTATAATCCCAGCTACTCAGGTGGCTGAGGCAAGAGAATCACTTGAACCCTGGAAGCGGAGGATGCAGTGAGCCGAGATCACACCAGACTGCACTCCAGCCTGGGCAACAGAGCCAGACTCTGTCTCAAAAAAAAAAAAAAATTAGCTCCATGCAGTGACGCATGCCTATAGTTCCAGCCACTCGGCAGGCTGAGGAGGGAGGATCACTTGAGCGTGGGAGGCAGAGGCTGTAGTGTGCTGAGATTGTGCCACTGCACTCCAACCTGGGCGACAGAACAAGACCCTGTCTCAAAAAAATAAAAATTAAAATAAAAAACTTACATAGAGTTTCCACGTATAACCTTCTTTCCTCCCCTCACCGAATGTTTCTCCTAGCATGTCGCATTGGGTGTGCTGCGTTTGTTACAACTGATGGGCCAATACGGATACATTATTAACTAAAGTGCATATTTTACACTAGAGTTCACTCTTTATAGATTCCATAGGTTTTGACAAATGCATAATATATCATGTATCCATCATCACAGTATGACACAGAATAATATGCCCCCAAATGTCCTGTGGCCCACCTATTCAACCCTCTCTCCCTCCCACTGAACCCTCAGCAACCACTGATCATTTTTTCCGCTGTCTCTAGAGTGTCTCTTTCTCCAGAATGCTGTATAGTTACAATCATACAGCATATAACCTTTTCATATTGCCTTCTTTCACTTAGAAATATGCATTTAAGTTTCCCTCATGTCTTTTCATCGCTTGAAAGTTCATTTCATCACTGAGTAATATTCCATTGTATTTATTACCGCAGTTTGTTTATGCATTCACCTATTGAAGGACATCTTAGTTGCTTCCAAGTTTTGATAATTATGAATAAGGTGGCCGTAAATATTTGTGTGCAGGCTTTTGTTTTGGGACATAAATTTTCAACTCATTTGGGTTAACACCTCGGAGTGCAAATGCTGGATTTTATGGTCAATCTATGTTTAGTTTTGTAAGAAACTGCCATACTGTTTTCCAAAGTAGCTGTACCATTTTGCATCCTCACTAGCAATAAATGAGCATTCCTGTTGTTCTACATTTTTTTATAGCATTTTGTGTTGCCAATAAGCATGTAATAGTATTTCATTGATGTTTTAATTCACAGTTCCCTAATGACATACCATGTTGAGCATCTTTTCATATGCCTATTTACCATCTGTATACTTTCTTTGGTGAGATGTCTGCTCAGATCTTTTTTCCATTTTTTAATTGTTTGTTTTCTTATTCTTGAGTTTTCATGTGTGTATTTTGGATACACGTCCTTTGTCAGATACATGTTTTGCAAATATTTTCTACTAGTTTGTGGGTTTTTTTTTTTAATTCTCTTCACAGTGTCTTTTGCAGAGCAGAAGTTTTTAGTTTTAATGAATTAAAACATCAATTTTTCTCTTTAATGGATCATGCTTTTGGTATCGTATTTTATTCTTTGTTTTTATTTTTGTTTTCATTTATGCTGTGGTATTTTAAAAGTCATTGCTAAATTGAAGGCCATTGCAGTTTTCTCCTTTGTTATCTTTTACAGTTTTATAGCTTTGTGTTTTACATTTAGGTTTATGATCCATTTGGAGTTAATTTTTGTGAAAGGCATAAGGTCTGTATCTAGATTTTTGGTTTTGGCCTATGGGTGCCCAGTTGTTCCAGCACAATTTGTTGAAAAAAACTATCCTTTCTCCATCGTCAAAGGTTGGCTATATTTGTGTGGGTCTATTTCTGAGCTCTCTATTCCATCCCATTGATCTAATTCTCTTTCACCAGTATCACACCATCTTGATTACTGTACCTTTATAGTGTTGATGTGTATGAAGTAGAGCTTTAGAGTCTTGATGTGGATTGTGCTGGATATTCTGGGTCTTTTGCCTTTCCATATAAACTTTAGAATCAGGGCTGGGTGCAGTAGCTCACGCCTATAATCCCAGCACTTTGTGAAGCCAAACTGGGAGGATTGTTTGATCCCAGGGCTTTGAGAACAACTCAGGCAATACAGAGACTCTACAAAAAAAAAAAATTATAAAATTAGCTGGGCATGGTTAGTGTGCACCTGTAGTCCCCCCTACTTGGGAGGCTGAGGTGGGAGGATTGCTTGAGAGCAGGAGTTCAAGGCTGCAGTGAGCTATATTCGTGCCATTGCACTCCAGCCTGAGCAACAGAATGAGACCCTGTCTCTAAACAAACAAACAAACACTTTAGAATCAGTTTATCAATATCCACAGAATAATTTGCTGGGATTTTGATTGAAATCGCATTAACTCTATAGACAAAGCTGGGAAGAACTTACATTTTAATAATGTTGAATGTTCCATGTTTGTTCCAAGGAACATTCATTTATTTAAGTCTTTGAGTTCTTTGAGTTCTTTCATCAGAATTTTGTAGTCTTCTTCATATAGCTCTTACACATATTTTGTTAGATTTATATATAAGTTTCATTTATTTGTTTGTTTGTTTTTGAGACAGAGTTCTGTCACCCATGCTGGAGTGCAGTGGCACAATCTCGGCTCACTGCAATGTCCACCTCACGAGTTCAAGGGATCTTCCCACTTCAGTCTCTGACGTAGCTGGGAATACAGACTCGTGCCACCATGCCCAGCTAATTTTTGTATTTTTAGTAGAGACGGGGTTTTACCATGTTGGCCAGGCTGGTCTGGAACTCCGGACCTCAACTGATCCACCTACCTTGACCTCCCAAAGTGCTGGGATTATAGGCATGAGCCACCGTGACCTGCCAAGTATTTCATTTTTTTAGTTCTAATATAAATGGAGTTGTGATTTTAACTTTAAATTTCAGTTGTTCATTGCTGGCGTATAGGAGTAATTGACTTTTGCATACTAACCTTGCATCCTGCATCATTGTTACAAAATGGCTTATTGGTTCTAGGAGGTTCTTGTGGTTTATTTTGTTTTGTTTTTGTCAATTCTTTGAGATTTTCTACATAGACAATTATACTATCTGTGAACAAAGACAGTTTTATTTTTTTGTTCCCATTTAGTCTACTGTTAATATCCTTTTATTATCTTACTGCATTATCTAGGACTTCCAACACAGTGCTGAACAGGTGACAGGAGACATCCTTGTCTTGTTCCCAGTCTTGAGGGGAAAGTATCTAGTTTCTCACCACTAAGTATGATGTTAGTTGTAGGGGTTTTGTAGCAATTCTTCATCAGGTTGAGGAATTATCCCCTAGTTTGCTGAGAACTTTTTTAATCATGAATGGGTGTTGTATTTTTTTAATGTTTTCTCTGCATCTATTGATATGATCCTGTGATTGTTTTTCATTAGCTGTTGATAAGATGGATTACATCAATTGATTTTCTAATGTTGAGCCAGTCTTGCATACCTGGACTAAATCCCATTTGGCCTTGGTATACAACTCTTTTTATATGTTCTTGAATTCAATTTTCTATTTTATTAAGGATTTTTGTATCTATGTTTATAAGAGATACAGGTCTGTTTTTGTCTGGTTTTTGTGCTAGAGGAATGCTGGCGTCATGAAATGAGTTAGGAAGTGTTCCGTTTGCTTCTATTTTCTGGAAGAAATGCTAAAGAAATTGTATTATTTCTTCTTTAAACATTTGACAAAATCACCAGTGAAATCATCCAGGCCTGGTGTTTTCTATTTAAAAGGTTATTAATTGCCGAGACAATTTCTTTAATAAATATAGGCCTATTCAGATTACTTATTTCGCTTTGTGTGAGTTTTGGTAGATTGTGTTTTTCCAGGAATTTGTCGAGTTCTTCTGGGCCAGCAAATTTATCAGCATCAAGTTGTCTGCAATACTCCTTTATTATCCTTTTGTTTTGTTTTGTTTTTTGAGACGGAGCTTTGCTCTTGTTGCCCAGGCTGGAGTACAATGGCACCATCTCAGCTCACTGCAACCTCTGCCTCCTGGGTTCAAGTGATTCTCCTGCCTCAGCCTCCCGAGTAGCTGGGATTACAGGCACCCGCCACCATACCCGGCTAATTTTTTTGTATTTTTAGTGGAGATGGGGGTTTCACCATGTTGGCCAGGCTGGTCTCGAACTCCTGACCTCAGGTGATCCATCTGCCTCAGCCTCCCAAAGTGCTGGGATTACAGCATGAGCCAACGTGCCCAGCCTCCTTTATTATCTTTTTAATGTCCTTGAGATAAATGGTGACGATCCCTCTTTTATTTCTGATATTAATAATTTATGTCTCCAGCCTGGGCAACGGAGCAACACCCTGTCTCAAAAATAAATCGATAAATAATGTATGTTTTCTCACCTTTGTTCTTGGTTAGCCTGGCTAGAGGGTCATCAATATTATCAATCTTTTCAAAGAACCTCTCTATGATTTCATGCTTCTCTCCATCGTTTTCTTGTGTTCAATTTCATTGATTTCTGCTCTAATTTTTATTATTCTTTTTATTCTGCTTACTTTGGATTTAATTTGTTCTTTTTTAGTTTTCTACAGTAGAAGCTTGGCTTATTGATTTTAGATCTTCTTTTCTAATAGATACATTCAATGCTATGAGTTTCTTTCTAAGCACTGCTTTTGCTGCATCCCATAAATTTTGACCAGTTGTATTTTCATTTAAATGTAGTCCAAAATATTTTTTCATTCTCTTGAGGCTTCTTTAACCTATGTGTTATTTAGAAGTGGGCTGTTTTATCTCCAAATATTTTGGTATTTTCCAGCTATCTTTCTGTTAGAGATTTCTAGTCTAATTCCATTATGATCTGAGAGAGTATATTGTATGATATCTATTGTCTTAAATTTGTTAAGGTGTGTTTTATGGTCCAGCATATGGTCTATTTTGGTGAATGTTCCATATGAGCTTGAGAAGGATCTGTTGTTGTTGGATGATATATTCTATACATATTAATTTAATCCAATTGATTAATAGTGCTATTCAGTTCAACTATGTCCTTACTATTTTCTGCCTGCTGGCTCTGTCAGTGGTTGATAGAGGAATATTAAAGTCTCCAACTATAGTAGTGAATTGGTCTATTTCTCCTTGCAGTTTTTTTATGTTTTTGTTTTGTTTTTTGAGATGGAGTCTCACTCTGTCGCCCAGGCTGGAGTGCAATGGTGCCATCTCTCCTCACTACAACCTCACCCTCCTGGGTTCAAGCCATTCTCCTGCCTCAGCCTCCAAAGTAGCTGAGATTACAGGCATGCGCCACGATGCCCAGCTAATTTTTGTATTTTTAGTAGAGATGGGGTTTCACCATGTTGGCCACGCTGGTCTCGAACACCTGACCTCAGGTGATCCACCCACCTCAGCCTCCCAAAGTGCTGGGATTACAGGCATGAGCCACCACACCTGGTCTTGCCCTTCTTTATCCCCGATAATTTTACTTGCTCTGAAATCTGCTTTGTCTGAAATTAATACAATTGCTCAAGCTTTTTTTTTTATAATCAGGGTTAACACGATTATCTTTCTCTGCCCTTTACTTTTAATCTATAAGTCTGTTTATATTTAAAGTGGGATTCTTATAGACAGCATATACTTGGGTCTTGGTTTTTGATCCATTCTCTGACAATCCCTTTCTTTAGTTGGTGTACTGAGATTATTTATACATAAAATGATTATTGATATAGTTGGGTTAATGTTTACCATATTTGTTGCTGGTTTCTCTTTGATGTCCTTGTTCTTTGTTCCTATTTTTATCTTCCACTCTTTTTCTGCCTTCTGCAGTTTTGATTGAGCATTTAATATGATTCCAGTTTATCTCCTTTGTTAGCATATTAATTTTGCTTCCTTTTTACTTTTTAAAAAAGGTTTGTTCTAGAATTTGCATTTCTAACTAATTCAAGTCCACTTTTAAATAACACTATATCTCTTCATGGGTAGCGCAGGTACTTTATAAAAGGGTATTCCCAATGTCTCCCTCCCATCTCTTTGACATTGCTGTAATTCATTTAGCTTATCCATAAGCTATGATTATCCAACATATTGTTGCTATTGTTATCCTAAACAAACCCTTATCTTTTAGGTCAGTTAGGAATTTAAAAAGAAGGATTTTATTTTTTATTTTTTATTTTTATTTTTTTTGAGACGGAGCCTTGCTCTGTCACCCAGGCTGGAGTGCAGTGGTGCGATCTCGTCTCACTGCAACCTCCACCTCCTAGCGTCAAGTGATTCTCCTGCCTCAGCCTTCCCAGTAGCTGGGATTACAGGCACGTGCCATCATGCCTGGCTAATTTTTAATAGAGACGGGGTTTCACCATGTTGGCCAGGCTGGTCTCGAACTCCTGACTTCATGATCCACCCACCTCAGCCTCCCAAAGTGCTGGGATTACAGGCGTGAGCCACCAGGTTTGGCCTATTTTTTCTTTATTTATTGCTTCTTGAATGCTCTTCCTTTATGTAAATCCAAGTTTCTGACCTATGTCGTTTTCCTTCCCTCTGAAGAACCTCCTTTAACATTTTGAGGGGCTGGACAGGGTGGCTCATGCCTATAATCCCAGCACTTTGGTAGCCTAAGGCAGGAGAATCTCTTGAGGCCAGGAGTTTGAGATCAGCCTGGGCAAGATAGTGATACTCCATCTTTAAAAAAAAATTGTTTTTTAATTAGCTGGGAGGCTGAGGCAGGAGGATCACTTGAGCCCAGCAGTGCAAGGTTATAGTGAGCTATGATGGCACCACTGCACTCCAGCCTAGGCAACAGAGTCCCTGTTTCTAAATGAAAATAAAATAAAACTTTTTTTGCAAGGCAGGTCTACTGACAACAAATTATCTCCGTTTTTGTTTGTCTGAGAAAGTCTATCTTCCTCACTTTTGAAGAATACTTTTGATGGATACAGAATTCTGTCCTTTTTTTTTTTTCCGTCAGCACTTTAAATATATCACTCTACTCTCTTAACTTGCACAGTTTCTGGAGCAAAATCTAGTGTAATTCTTATCTTTATACCAACAGGTAAGGTGAGTTTTTTCCTCCAGCTTTTTTCAAGATTTTATCTTTGTCTTTGGTTTTCTGCAGTGTGAATACGATATGCCTAGGTGGAGATTTTTGGCATTTATCCTGCTTGATGTTCTCTGGGCTTTCTCGATGTGTGGTTTGGTGTTTGTCATTAATATTAGAAAATTCTTAGCAATTATTAATTCAAATATTTCTTCTGTTCCTTTCTCTGTTTGCCTTCTGGCATTCCCATTACACATATGTTACTCCTTTTGAAATTGTCCCACAGTTTGGGGATATTTTGTTCCATCTCTGAAATTTCTTTTCTTTTTGCTTTCAGTTTGGGAAGTTTCTATTGACATATCCTCCGCCCACTGACTCTTTCCTTGACTGTGACCAGTCTACTAATGAGCCCATCAAAGGTGTTCTTTACTTCTATTATAGTGTTTTTGGTTTTTACCATTTCTTTTTTATTGTTTCTTAGAGTTTCAATCTCTTTGATTACATTACTCATCTGTTCTTGCATGTTGTCCATTTTATCCATTAGATCTGTTAACATATTAATCAGTTATTTTTATTTTATTTTGTTTTCTTCAGATGGAGTCTCGCTCTTGTCGCTTAGGCTGGAGTGCACTGGTGTGATCTCAGCTCACTGCAACCTCCACCTCCCGGGTTCAAGCGATTCTCTTGCCTTAGCCTTCCAAGTAGCTGGAATTACAGACATGCACCACCACGCCCAGCTAATTTTTGTATTTTTAGTACAGATGGGGTTTCACCACCTTGGCCAGTCTGGTCTCCAACTCCTGACCTCACAGTGAAAATTTGGTAGGGCTCCTGGAGGTAAAACTGATGAAAGTGCGCCCCCACCAAGGCAGTCATTCTCACCCAGACCAGAAGCTTTCAGAATAGGTGGCCTTTGGACCTAGAGGGAGAAGAGATTTCTTTCCTTAGCCATTGCAAGGTTTGTGGATGAGACCCCAATAACAAAAGACAGATTAACAAGATAAACGCATCCAATTTTATTTAATGTAAGTTTTAGGGAACACAAGAGCCTTCAGAAACGAAGACCCAAATATACAGGGAAAACTGTATTTTTATGGAGAGTTGTGCAGAAGTATGATCGGAGGACAAAAGGGTATGATGTCATGGTAATCAACCAGGGGGAAGTAGCAAGGCCTGTTTGTTCCGATTCCTCTTGGCCTCTCTGTGTGACTTTCCTTTCCTTGGGTATAGGGCAGGACACCTGTCACAGGAGGTCTTCAAGGGAGACGGGAGGGAGAAGGCCAGAGAGTGACCTTCCTGCTTCTGCAGTTTTCTTAGTTTCCTTCAGCTTAAAATACTCAACATGCCAAGGTGCCATACTTTGGGGTGTCCTGTTCTGAGCCCCGCAGAGCTCACAAGCTCTCGGAATCATCTTGGACGTCTGATTTCTCACGGCCGGGGACATTTTCCTGGGCCTGAGGCCGTTGGAACCAGAACTGTCCATTTTCCCGCCCCGGCAGGTGACAGGCTGGGAAGGAGATCCTCAAGCAAGCGGGCTCTCAAAGCCGAGGGGACCCCAGGCAGGCGCGGAGCTCAGCGAAGCCAGAAGGAGCGCGCCGGGGGCAGCCCAAGCCCGGGGTCTCCCCGGAGGAAGCAAACAGGGCGCAGGAGACACAGAGAAGAGCTGGGGGAGCAGGAGCGGGGCGAGGCAGAGAGGACCTGCGAGGGCAGGAGAAAGCGCGACGAGAGGGCCTCCTTCCAGGAGCGGACAGCAGCCCCAAAGAGGGAAAAGGAGATTCCGAGGAGGGAGGAGAAGTCGAAGCGGCAGAAGAAACCCAGGTGTGTTGTGGCTCCGATTCTGGGCATTCGCTCCGCGCGCTCCCGCTCCTTCGCGGCCCTTCCCCTTCCCCCGTGAGGGACTGATGCCCCCCTCCCCGGGGAGAGGCAGCCCGTGCCCTCGCTCTGGCTTCCGTGCCTCCCAGCCCTTACCACTGCCCCACTCTGCGGTGGGTTCTTCATCCCAGAACCGGGATGAAGATCGCGGGTCCGCGCGGGGGAGTGGCCGCGGGCTCTCCACTCCAGCGCCTCGTGGCACCCGGTGAGGCGGGGCGCGGGTGGAGAGGTGGCGGGGCGCGGGTGGAGAGGTGACAGGGCAGCGGGTGGGACACGATCCCGCGTCCCCTGAACTCCAGCTGGTGACTCACCCCGGCTCTCGAAGAGGAGGAGCTGAGCGACATGAACAAAATCGGACTCAGGAACCATCTGAGGGCTTAAGCACACCTCGTTCCGGCTTCCGGATCTGGGCCAGTTTCCTCTGCTGGAAATGTGGCACTGGTCCAGGAGACCTTCAAGGATGCTACCAGCTCTGAAATTCTGGAGCTTGGAGGTTTTATTTGTTTTGCCTCCTTTGTTCCATTACCATTGGCACCAACTAGCACGTGTGGGTTAGTGGACAGGGCCAGCTTATGGCATCAGAAAGTGAAGATTTGGGGTTCATGTTTTTGTTATCAATTTTAATAGGTGTCTCTCTCTTTGCCTCCCTTTTTCAGTCATTGAGGATAACAGATGCCTTATTCGTTGCTCATATTGTTTTAAGAATTCTTTGTGATAGAATAGGAATTCTTTTGCAACAGTTGGGAATATTAGGATTATGGTGAAGAGTTGATGTTCTTTCCCGGTGGTTTGTAGCAAATCCTTTTTGCCCACAGCCTCAGTTGGGTGCTCCATCTTCCTCTCCACCTTTACAGAGAGGCTTTTAAACAAGGGCACTGATTTTTTTCCTGTCGCCATGCCAACCATCCTGGCTTGGTTACAGCCTTTGTCTACTGTCTGGTTGCTCCCAGACATGAACTAAAGAGGTAAAGGGTGCATCGTGCCCTTGGCCATTTAAAAATAACGTGAATGCACCGTTGATGGGCCCTGGGTGCCCTGAACTTTAGAGGGAGCCTGTACCATCCCAATGGGCCACAGACTCATTTATGTCATTTTCAGCTGAGGGCCATGCCAAGGCATTAGAGAGATGAAAACATTCAGTTCCCGTTGCCTAGATACTGACAGTGTGGCAGAGGAGATAACACATAGGCATTGGTAATCCTAAGACAAGGCAGAAAGCAATATGCATGCAAGACAGGACTTGATGGAGCGCTGAATTCCCCGGGTGCTGGGCCATCAGGGTTCCTCCATGGAGAAGGTGAACATCCCAGTGAGGCTTTGAATAACAGGTGGAATCTAAATAAGCAATGACTGAATGTCCAACACCCCAAACTGTGGGAACACCCTACGCAGAGACTCAAAGGCAGATATCATCAATTGGGTGTGCATGAAGTATGGCAAAAAAAAAAAAAATATCTCTGTGTTCTAGGCTTTTCAACCTTCAAGGGCATCCTAAAACTTCTTCTTTGCTCCCCAGGAGTTAATCAGAAGCTAAAACACCCAGAGGCTGCTGCAAACCTGTCTCTAAAACCTGCAGTAACCCAAGCCCACACCCTAATACTACCATTTATGAAACACACTCAGGCTGCCCAGCCATAACCCTTCCTTAGTCCTTTCCTTTACCTACCCGATTGGGCGCTGTCTCACTCAGCTGAGAGTCACTATTTTTCATCACTAAAGGAGTCAGAGGCCGGGCGTGGTGGCTCACGCCTGTAATCCCAGCACTTTGGGAGGCCGAGGTGGGTGGATCGCGAGGTCAGGAGATCGAGATCATCCTGGCTAACATGGTGAAACCCCATTTCTACTAAAAATACAAAAAATTAGCCAGGCGTGGTGGCGGGTGCCTGTAGTGCCAGCTACTCCGGAGGCTAAGGTGGGAGAATGGCGTGAACCCAGGAGGTGGAGCTTGCAGTGAGCCGAGATTGCGCCACTGCACTCCAGCCTGGGCCACAGAGCAAGACTCCATCTCAAAAAAAAAAAAAAAAATGGAGTCAGAATAGGCTGGAGGCTGTAGGGAGCACACACAGACACTTGGATTTTGTGACAACTGAGCACATAGTATTATCTGGGAGATGGGGAGCTCCCCAGCTGGAAATTCTCCACAGCCCTGCTGTCCAATATGACAGCCACTAGCTGCATGTGGCTGCTGAGCACTTGAAATGTGGCCAGTGTGACTGAGCAACTGAATTCCTCATTTAATTGTAACTCAGTGTTAATGCCACTGAGTTGACATAAGAGTTGGTGAATTTACTTAATTTGGACAGATGTAGTTTTGAAACTGATTTGATTTGACTTTGAAGCCAAAACAGTTCTTCTACAAAAAGACAAACTACTGTTGTCAATGCAGATACAAATATCAAAGGAAAACCATATTCTGCTACTTGATTCAGTTCTTGGGAATCTTTTAAGTATGTCTAAAACAATTTGGGCAAATCTACTTTTTTCACCTATAAACTTATGAAATATAAATACAAATTAAATATATCTGATGAAAGTTTATCATCTGAATAGCCTTGCAGTATGAGTACAAAATGAACAGTGACCTTTGAAGACAGTATTTTTTAAAGGACTGAAATATCTCTAATAATTTTATATTGATTACAGGTTAAATTCCAGTTTTTAATATATTTGAGTAAATAAACTGTATTATTAAAATTGCTTTAATCCATTGCTTTTTACCACTTCAACGTGGCTACTAGAAAAATTTGCATTACAGTAAGTGGCTTGTGTCCTATTTCTGTTGGGGAACACTGAGCTGGCATGTGGTTTGTGGGAGGACTCAGAGAAATGGAGGATGGGGAGGCAGCCCTCCAGGGCCCTGGGCTACAGGGTAGAATTTTGGCCTCCGCTGCCAGGCAATGGGAGTCACTAATGGCTTCTGAGCAGGGGAAGGGGTGCCATCTTCCATGGGCCCCTCCTCATTCCACAGCACCTGAGGACACCACCTCCTTTCCAACTTCCCTCTGCCTCCGCCCTGGCTCTGCCTCCAGGTCATCCTCCTTGGCCTCCAGTGCCTCTGGTGGGGAGTCCCTGTCCGAGGAGGAACTGGCCCAGATCCTGGAGCAGGTGGAAGAAAAAAAGAAGCTCATTGCCACCATGCGGAGCAAGCCCTGGCCCATGGCGAAGAAGCTGACAGAGCTCAGGTGAGCAGGCTGCGGGTCAGCCAGGGCCTTCCGATGTCCACAGCTCCTTCTGATGGGAATGGGAGCCCTCCCTCCACATTTCCCCAAAGGGGCTTGATGTGAGGGGGCTGCTCCAGCGAGGACAGCACTCAGGGAGCCCCATGAGAGCCAAGGCGGCCGTGCTGTTCGCCAGCACCACAGGGCCTAGAGGGGGAGCCATGGAAGACTCGGAGGACTCCCGACCTGTGCCCATGCCTTCCCTTGCCTGGCTGCCCCTTTTATCCCATGCCACACTTCATCTCGTGGCTTCTGTGCCTCCCTCACAGCCCAACAGAGACATGCCTTCTCCTGGAAGCTTTCTAGACCCCTTCTCCTCAAGAGCAGCTCTCTCTCATGTTCCTGGAGCACCCAGTGTCTCTCCATGTGTACACACTCTCGCTTGCGTGATTTGCACGGTGAGTGGGAGAGGGTCTGCCTGAGCCACTGTCACATCCCCATTGCCTGGCACCAGGCCAAGCTGGCCCCCATGCAACATGAATATCACTCTGTGAATGGCAACAGGCCTCCTGCCCATGCCACTCGACTCCTGTTTTCTACTCAGCCACTTCTTTGGTTTCCATGCAAAAGGCTGATGCACGGAGCATTTGATGATTCTGGGGTCTTTGCTGCAGTTTTAAAATAACAGTAGACTCACACCTGTAATCCCAGCACTTTGGGAGGCCAAGGCAGGTGGATCACTTGAGGTCAGGAGTTTGAGACCAGCCTGGACAACATGGTGAAACCCCGTCTCTACTAAAAAGACAAAAATTAGCCGGGGGTGGTTGCGGGCACCTGTAGTCCCAGTTACTCGGGAGGCTGAGGCAGGAGAATAGCTTGAACCCAGGAGACAGAGGTTGTAGTGAGCCGAGATCATGCCACTGAACTCCAGCCTGGGCAACAGAGGGAGACTCTGTATCAAAAAAAAAAGAAAGAAAAGAAAAGAAATAACAGCAGTAGTCATATTACATACTTTTTGAGTTTCTGCTAAAAAGTTCCTATCCAACATGACCGTTTTCCCCAAGGTCCCTCTGTTTTTTTGCCACAGCGTTGGGAGTGGCACTCCCCCCGTTTCCTCTGTAGGAAGCCCATGCTCCCTGGCTCCTCTCATACATGAGCTTCCTCATTGCTCGTTCAAACTCCTCACCCTTTATTAAGCACAGCAATTTGGCAGCCATGTTTTTGCAGTATTTACCCCAACAGGCACAGTAAAGATCTAGCTACACCAACACTGGGCCGACCCCGACAAGGAAAACAGAGCTTACCCCACGGCCCTGCAAATTATTACGTCATCTCCTATATGGCTGCAAGAAGAAACACCTCCTCGTAGTGCCTCCAGGCCTATGCTTTAGGCCAGTGCTGCTGAGCACCAGAGCTTTCTGCAATGATGGAAATCAGTCAAAATCTGCACTGTGTAACATATAGCCACTACCACGTGTGGTTACTGAGTGCTTAAAACAGATTAGTGTAACCGAAAAACTGATTTTTTTGTTTTAGCTTTTATTTAAACTTAAATTTATGTATAGCATAGTGACTATAATTAATAACAATATATTGGATACCTGAAAATTGCTAAGAATAGATTATAAGTGTTCTCACCACATACAAGAAACAAGTATGGGAGGTAATGCGTATGTTAATTAACTCGATTTGACAATTCATAATGTATGCATATATCAAAACAGCATGTACACCATAAATATATACAATTTATTTTTAAGAGACAGAGTCTTGCTCTGTCACCCACGCTGGAGTCCAGTCCACCATTTTAACTCACTGTGGCCTTGAATTCCTGGGCTCAAGTGATCCGCCTGCCACAACCTCTCCAGTGGCTGGGACTACAGGCATATGCCACCATACCTGGCTAATTTTTAAATTTTTTTGTGGATACAGGGTCTCGCTATGTTGCCCAGGCTGATCTCGAACTCCTGGACTCAAGCGATCCTCCCACCTCAGCTTCCCCAAGTATTGTGATTACAGGTATGGGCCACCACACCTGGCCCATTTGTCAATTAAATAATAAAATAACAAATTAATTTTAAAAATTTAAATAGTCCCATGTGGTGAGTGGCGACAGTGTGGAAGCTAGACTCAGCTCTGGACTGTCTTCCTTCTCAGCCTCCTCTTTTTTTTTTTTTTTTTTGAGATGGAGTATCGCTCTGTCGCCCAGGATGGAGTGCAGTGGCACAATCTCGGCTCACTGCAACCTCCGCCTCCCAGGTTCAAGCGATTCTCCTGCCTCAGCCTGCCGAGTAGCTGGGACTACAGGCGCCCACCACCGTGCCCAGCTAATTTTCTGTATTTTTAGTACAGACGGGGTTTCACCGTGTTAGCCAGGATGGTCTCAATCTCCTGACCTCATGATCCGCCCGCCTCGGCCTCCCAAAGTGCTGAGATTACAGGCATGAGCCACCGCGCCCGGCCCTCAGCCTCCTCTTTTTGAATCCTTTCTCCCTGCTCCCTCCAAGCTGGGCTCCTTCTCCTGCCAGCAGGGCAGAACAGCCATCTGTCACTCTAATAGAACCTCACTCCCACTCAGGTGTCACCAGAACACATCTTTTATTAACAGTGGAAAAAGTGCAGCCTTGATGCCTATGGAAATGAGATCTCCAGCTGGCTGGAAGTCTCAGGGACCGTGACAATCCCTGAGGGCTCCTCAGCTGCCAGAGGAGAAATCTGACATCTCCTTCCTGCCTCTGAGGGGCAGAGTTCCTGGGGCTGGCAGGATAGGAAGAAGCTAAGGCCTGAGAAGCCAAGGAGACCTATGCCTCTCTCACTGGAGTGGGCCTCCCCAGCAAACAGTGGGTCTCCTTTCCCTGGACCTCCCTCCTGTCTCTTCCTAGCTTCTTCCCTTCCCCAAGGCTCCTTATCCTGGACTCAGATTTAAGTCTCTCCAGCCTCTAGTCTCCACCCGAGCTGGTGCCTCTGCCTAGAAGATCTGTGCTTTCTGCCACCTCTCCTTGCTAACTCCTACACACCTTGTAAGACTCGGGCCAAGTGCCTCCTCTGCAGGGAGGTCCCCATTGCCCCTCCCCACAAGCAGGCTGATTGATTTACTGTCCCTCTCATTCCAAGGCACTGTCCACTCTCTTGACTGGATGCTGTTCTTGTTTTCAGAGCTGTCTCTTTTTCATCATTTACTATCAATTCCTTTTTATATACAGCCAGTCTTTGCTGGGCATGCCCTTTGTGCCAGGCACTGTTCTGAGTGTGGTATGTATAACAATTCACTGAATCCTCACAATCACCCTGTGATGTCGGTACTGCCATTATTGTCACCATTTTACTGATGAGAAGACTGAGGCCACACAGCAAGTTAAGTGGCGCAGCCAGGATTTGGACTCAGGAATTCTGGCTCCAGAGCCTGCACTGTTTTTTTGTTTGTTGTAGTTGTTGTTTTAGAGACAAGGTCTCGCTATGTTGCCGGGACTGGTCTCGAACTCCTGGGCTCAAGTGATATTCCCACCTTGGCCTCCCAAAGTGCTGGGATTACAGAGCCTGCTCTCTTAATTTGTAATCGTCTCTCCAGAATTACCAGACATTCGAGAACGCAACCCCTTTGCTACCAGTATGATTTCTTCTTCTGAAAATAAAGTCTCCAGTTGCAGACGGCATCCCCATACTACATCCTCTCTTTTAGAAATAGTAGTGTGGGGGCCCCATTCTCTGGCCCAGTCAGGCACTGGCTGACCTGAGCATGGTTACTGTAGACTATCTAAAAAGGCTTGCTAGTGCTGGGTGTGGTGGCTCACACCTATAATCCCAGCACTTTGGGAGGCTGAGGCGGGCAGATCACTTGAGGTCAAGAGTTCAAGACCAGCCTGGTCAACATGGTGGAACCTCATCTCTACTAAAAATACAAAAGTTAGCCGGGCGTGGTGGTGTGTGCCTGTAATCCCAGCTGCTTGGTGGCTGAGGTAGGAGAATTTTTTGAACCAGGAAGTGGAGGTTGCAGTGAGCCGAGATCATGCCGCTGCACTCCAGCCTTGGTGACAAAGTGAGACTCTGTCTCCAAAAAACATATGAAAACAAAAGGCTGGCTGGACATAAAAAGCAACAGCAGTGAGTTGGGGCAAACCTGAATTCACACCTCTGCCACATCTGGAGACTTTGGTTGGCTACCCAATCCCTCTCAGGGTCACTTCCTTCCCTTAACCTCTCTGAGCCTAATAATTCTCACTTGTAAAATGGGAATAATAACATCTACCTCACAGGGTTGTTCAAACAATTTCAAAATATTTTTATTAAGTGCCCAGCATATAATATGCAATTAAAAAATAGCGATTACTGTTATTATTAAAGCTTGAACATCTTTTATGCCTGACACTATGCTGAGCCCTGAGAGATGAGGTTGGGGAACAAAGATGAATCAGAGAAGCATGTGGACATCATCAATAATGATACACAGTAGGATGTGAAGTTGGCATAACAGCTTCTAGTGCCCATGAATCAGGGATATTTGCTTTAATCATAGAATTAATCAGGTCTGTCTCTCAGCTTTGTCCAAAGCCTGATATCTTAGAAAACTACCCAAACTGCTTTCTTTCTTCAGAGTGATTAGAGGACTTCTGCTTCTAGGTAGATGGAGTAGAGACGCTTTTCCCTATTCTTCCCACTAAGTACAATGAAAACCCTGAATGCCATATTTAAAGCAAATATAAGAAGATTTGAAAAGGTAGAAAGAAGAAGGCAAACTGGCTAAGAACCTCAGGACCAAAGGGATGACCAGGGCATTGAGTTCCTTGGATTTTCTTTTTTACCTTCTATATCCCAGACTGGCTATTGGAAAAGCTGGCAACCCCAAAACTCCAATGGAGGCAGCCAAAAAAAATGCCCCAAGAAAAATCTGCTATTTCTGGCCAAAGGACCAGGGAAGAAACAGACTGGCAAGACAGAAAACTTTTGGACAATAACTGTTCTCCAGCCAAATACCACAGACAAAACAACAGCCCCCATTGCCAACCCTGGCAGCAAAGGCAAGTGGGGAAGCCTGGATACCCACCTTTGCCAGGCCAAAGCAAGGTGCCCCAATACCCCTAACCAGGGTGTGCCAGAGGAGGCTGAGTGGGAAGCAGGAATTTTCATCCCCAGCAGGTAGTAATGATCCCTCCTTTTCCCCATGGTTTCGGTGAGGACCATGTGGGGAGTCTAGACTCTCACCATGACTTGGAAGTAACCAGGCTTGAGTGGAGGCCTGAACCCCATCCCTGCTCAGCGGTAACAAGGAGCTTCTCCTCAGCCTCAGGTGTCAAAGGAGGCCAAATGAAGAACCTGGACTTTCACCCCCACCTGGAAGTAATCAGGCAACATTACCTACAACTACCATAGCAATGTCAGAGGAGGCCTGGTAAAACATAAGATTTAAATAATACCTAGAGTCTTATAATATCCAAAAGTCCAGGTTTCAATTAAAAATCGCTTGCCATACCAAGAACCAGGAAGACCTCAAACTAAATGACAAAAGATGATCAACAGGTTTTAACACCAAGATGACAGAGATGTTAGAATTGTCTGACAAAGGTTTTATTTTATTTATTTTTATTTTTTATTTTTGTAGAGACAGGGTCTCACTATATTGCTCAGGCTGGTCTCGAACTCTTGGCTCAAGCAATCCTCCCACCTCAGCCTCGCAAGACACTGGGATCACAGACATGAGCCACACCTTGCCCGACAAAGGTTTTAAAGCAACCATCATAAAAATGCTTCAATGAGCAATTGTGAACACATGAAACAAATGAGAAAAACAGTCTCAGAAAAAAAATAGAAGCTATAAAGAGGAACAACTGGAAATTTTAGAAGTAAAAAAATACAATAACTGAAATTTTTAAAACTCAGTGAGTGGGCTCAACAACAGAATGAAGAGAACAGAGTAAAAACTCAGTGAACTTGGAGATAGAACAAGAGAAATTACCCAATCTAAACTATAGAGAGAAAATAGCCTGGAAGAAAATGCACAGAACTTCAAGGATGTGTGGGACTATAATAAAAGACATAACATTAGTATCGTTGGAATTCCAGAAAAAGAGGAGAAAAAGGATGAGACTGAAAAAGTATTCAAAGAAATTATGGCTAAAACTGTCTCAGATTTGGCAAAACTTACAAATTCAAGAAGCAAAACAAATCCCAAGCAGGATAAACCCAAAGCAAAGAAATTCATTCCAAGACACATCATAGTCAAACTTCTAAAAACTTGTAGGCAGTCAGACAGAAACAAAACATCACCTACAGGGAAAAAAACACAATTATAATGACAAGAAACTTCTCATCAGAAACCATGAAGGGCATGCCCTTTGTGCCTTTGTTATTATTTATATATCTTCACAGAGTTCAAAAAAAGTTTGCTGTGCCCATGGAAATTCATAAACCAGGTGGACTCTTCACAGTGACTGGTCTTCATAGTTTGCAACTAGCCTTTGGTAGGGTCCCCTGTTCTCTTGGGGGTTTGCTGGATGTCTGGACACAGAGTCTGAACAGAGAGAAGAGAAGCGTTTGCTGCTGGGCTCAATGACTCAGGCGCAAGAGCTGCCCCTACTTTTGAGAATTGTTAACTGAAGCTGCTAAATCTTAAAACCTGGCACATTTAAGCTCATAGAACTCCAAGTGCTTTTGAGTATTTGCCCACTTGTAAAATACAGGAAGAAGACAAAAATATGAATATTGTGAAACCATTCTTTGTTGTTGCAGTGGTATTGGTGTTCACTGATAAGTCACTGGCAGGACATCTCCTGCCAAGGGGGGGAACAGGGAGAAGATCCCATTGAGGAGGACATACAGCCCAGTTCTTGACCCTGGGTTTAGGAGTAGGACAGGCAGCCTCACTAGCATTGAGACACTGAGACATCCCAATAAAGCCAGCCTCAAGGTTAGGATGCAACTTCACACGTATCAACTGTCCACACTTGTACCTTGGAGGCAGCAGGAACAGTGGGGTAGGCATTTTGTAGGAGCAGTGGTGACTGTAGCAATAGCAGCCAGACACACACAGCTCCACAACACCTTCTTCCATCTGCCCTAAGACGGACTTCATTCTTCACTCGCATGATTGGGTTTATCTAGTGGTTGCTGATAAACTAGCTTTCTGAGGTGTGGGACAGGAGGAGGAGCCCTGGTCATAGTATTTGCTGATTTCCGTGGTCTAAATACTCCCACCATGGCCAACTCAAAGCTACTAACAGTTTAACAACTGGTTGGCCAAGTTCCTGAAGATTTAACAATCTGTTCTCAAAGGCTGTCCTCACCAGGTCCAGCAACCACTGCAGAATATTTAATAGACAAATTGATTCATTTGTTTCTCATCCAACTTTAACAGGGTGCTCATTCACTCACTCAGTCAACATCCATGTGTTCCACAAATACCTATCCAATGATGCCTGACTTACAATGGTTCAACTTATAATTTTTCAGCTTTACAGTGGGTTTATTGGATATACTGCATCATAAGTTGAGGAGCATATGGGCTTATGATGGTTCAACTTACAATTTTTTACTTAATGGCCTTTTTGGGGTATTAAGTACATTTTCAACTTAACGATGTTTTCAACTTACAATAAGTTTATTGGAACATAACCCCTTGTACATCAAGGAGCATCTGTATTAATTTTATATTGCTATTGCAACAAATTACCACAGGTTAAGAATTTAAAATACCACTCGTTAATTAGTGCACAGTTCTGTAGGTCAGAAGTCCAGCATGGCATGGCTGGATTCTCTGTTCAGGGTCTCATCACACCAAAATTATGGTATCAGTAGGGCTGCAGTTCTCACCCAGGGCTAAGGTTCTCTTCTGAGCTCACTGATTGTTGGCTGAATTCACTTCCTTCTTATGCTTTTTGTGTAGCCCCTCCAGAGGGGCCCCAGACACAGAGAGTCAAGAATATTCCTGCTCCACGTTTGATAAAATCTAATATTCCTTCATGATAAAAGCCTCCAACAAACTAGGCATTGAAGGAACATACCTCAAAATAATAAAAGTTATCTATGAGAAACTCATAGTGAAATTCATACTGAATGGGCAAAAACTGGAAGAATTTCCCTTAAGAACTGGAACAAGACAAGAATGCCCATTCTCACTTCTCCTATTCAACATAGTACTGGAAGTCTTAATCAGAGCAATCAGGCAAGAGGAGAAAAATGAAAGGCAGGAAAGAAGGAAATAAAAGTAGGAAAAGAAGTCAAAGTATCTCTCTTTGCTGATTATATGATTCTCTACCTAGAAAACCCTAAAGACTCTGCCAAAAGGCTCCTGGAATTGATAAAAGACTTCAGCAAAGTTTCAAGATACAAAATCAATGTACAAATGTACAAAAATCAAGAGCATTTCTTGATCTAGTAACATTCAAGCAGAGAACCAAATCAATAATACAATCCCATTTACAATAGTCACAAAAATAAAATAAAATAAAATACCTTGGAATTCATCTAACCAAGGAGGTGAAAGATCTCTACAAGGAGAACTACAATACAATGACTAAAGAAATCATAGGTAATACCAAAAAAAAATCCATGCTCATGGATTGGAAGAATCAATATCATTAAAATGCCCATACTACTGAAAGCAATCTACAGATTCAATGCTATTTCTACCAAACTACCAATGTCATTTTTCACAGAAATAGAAAAAAAGATTCTAAAATTCACAGGAACCAAAAATGAGCCCAAACAGCCAAAGCTATCCTAAACAAAAAGAATAAAGCCAGAGGCATCACATTACTCAACTTCAAACTATACTATGAGGCTACAGTAACGAAAACAGCACAGTACTGGTACAAAAACAGACACATAGACCAATGGAACTGAATAGAGAATGCAGAAATAAAGCTGCCCACCTACAACCATCTGATCTTCAATAAAATCAACAAAAAACAAGCAATGGGGAAGGACTCCCTATTCAATAAATGGTGCTGGGATAACTGGCTAGACATATGCAGAAGAGTGAAACTGGACCCCCGCCTCTCACCATACACAAAAATCAGCACAAGATGGATTAAATACTTGAATGTAAGACCTAAAATTATTAAAATCCTAGAAGAAAACCTAGGAAATATCATTCTGGATATTGGCCTTGGGAAAGAATTTACGACTAAGTCCTCAATAGCAACTGCAACAAAAACAAAAATTGACACATGGGACCTAATCAAACTACAAAGCTGCTGCACAACAAAAGAAACTATCAGCAGAGTAAACAGACAACCTACAGAATGGAGAAAATATTCTCAAACTATGCATCTGACAAAAGTCTAATATCCAAAATCTGTAAAGAACTTACACAATTCAACAAGCAAAAAACAAATAACTCCATTAAAAAGTGGACAAAGAATATGAACAAACACTTCTCAAAAGAAGACATACAAGCCTCCAACAAACATATGAGAAAATTCTCATCATCACTAATTATCAGAAAAATGCAAATCAAAACCACAATGACACACCATCTTCCACCAGTCAGAATGGCTATTATTAAAAAGTCAAAACCTAACAGATGCTGGTAAGGGTGCGGAAAAACAAACAAACAAACAAACAAAAAACACTTATACATTGTTGGTGGGAATGTAAATTAGTTCAACCATCGTGGAAAGCAATTTGGAGATTTCTTAAGAAACTTCTCTTCTGTTTTTAAGGGCTCATATTATTTTATTACACTGGGGCCATGCAGATGACCCAGAATAATCTCCTTATTTTAAAATCAATAATCTTGGCCGGGCATGGTGGTTCACACCTGTAATCCCAGCACTTTGGGAGGCCGAGGCAGGTGACTGCTTGAGCTCAGGAGGTCAAGAGCAGCCTGAGCAACACAGTGAGACCCTATCTCTAAAAATAAATAAATAAATAAAATAAAATCAGTAATCTTAACTACATTTTAAAAGTCCTTTTTGCCATGTAACATATTATATTCATGGGTGGAACACCACCAGACGAAGGTCACAGGGGCCACAGTTCTGCCTACCATGCCTGTTATGTACCTCGCACTCTTCTCAGCATTTGGGAAACTTCAGTGGATAAAACAGACAGAATGTCGTGCCTTCATGGAATTTATATTTTAACCAGGGGTATACAAAGACATAAGCCTTCACACATGTGTTTGAGGCTTCATAATTCAGATTTCCTCTGGTTAGGTGCTAACTGAAATCCTGCTTTTTTTTTTTTTTCTAAGCAGGGAGGCCCAGGAATTTGTGGAGAAGTATGAAGGTGCCTTGGGAAAGGGGAAAGGCAAGCAACTATATGCCTACAAGATGCTGATGGCCAAGGTGTGTGGGGTGGGGGCAGTGAATCTGTTGGGAGGGCTTGCTCAGCTTTGGAATCTGGCGACCAACTTCGGCAACTGCCCAGCTTCGCCATTTGTGTCCAGCTGCCCCCAGAATCCTGGGTGTGAGGGCCACCTGACCATTCTGATCCATCTAGGCATGGAAACCAATCGTATCCTGCCAATTTCTCCATACTTACTGTGAGGGCTTCAATACATTTGAGACTTGTCTTCTCTCCAGTGAATACACTTAGAGAACTAATGATGTTAAAACCACTGGGATTTTATTTTCCAAACCCCAAATCAGGACAGGTTGAGTTGGTGGAGACCCAGAAGGGCTGTGGTGTGATCAGGGTCACGTGGATGATAAACAGCGATGTCCCCAGACGGATGGGGGCAGCTCTGTTTTGTTGAGTTGTATCATAACCTGGGCATCTGATTTAAGTTAGGGTAATGTTTCATGTTGGATATTTAAAGTGAGACTTACTGAAGTATCCTTCCTTTACCCACTGATTTGAAAAACTACCATTCTCATTCACTTAATTCTTGTACAGAGCCTGTTTCAGGGCTTTTATTCTGAACAATCATTTGATGTCATTACCTCAATGACATCAAATGCCTGGTAGTTCTAGGTTCCCCTTTTTACCTTTGGTTTTTTGTTTGTTTGTTTTTAGAAACAGAGTCTCACTCTGCCACTAAGGCTGGAGTGCAGCGTCACCACTCCAGCCTTAGTGGCAGCCTTGAACTCCTTGGCTCAAGAGCTCACTGCAGCCTTGAACTCCTGGCCTCAAGAGATCCTCCAGCCTCAGCCTCAGCCTCCTGAGTAGCTAGGACTACAGGTGCACTCCACCACACCCTGATAAAACTTTGTTTTTAAAAAATAAAAAAATGTCTTGGCTGTCTTGCCCATGTTTCTACATGCATTTTTAAAAATCCCTTTGCCAAGTTCCACCATAGTGTATTGAGATTTTGGTTGGAATTTCTTTTAATCCTGTATTTAATTTGGGACTTCCTTATCTATACAATATTTAGTTTTCACATCTAGGATACCATACATTTCTCAAGCCCATATTATATCCTTAAGCAAAGTTTGTCATTTTCTCCCTATAGATCTTTTCCATGTTTTATTTCTGCACATTTGATAGCCTAGTTGCTTTTGCAAATGCGATCATTTTTCAATTATTTAATAACTAGTTATTGGTAGTATGTAAGAAAGCTACAAATTTTTGTGCTAATTTTATATCTGGTTCTCTTATGGTACTCTCTTATTAATTCTTTTTTTTTTCTTTTCTTTTCTTTTTTTTTTTTTTTTTGAGACGGAGTCTCACTCTGTTGCCCAAGCTGGAATGCGGTGGCGCGACCTCGGCTCACTGCGAGCTCTGCCTCCCGGGTTCACGCCATTCTCCTGCCTCAGCCTCCCGAGTACCTGGGACTACAGGCGCCCGCCACCACGCCCGGCTAATTTTTTGTGTTTTTAGTAGAGACGGGGTTTCACCGTGTTAGCCAGGATGGTCTCGATCTCCTGACCTCGTGATCCGCCCGCCTCGGCCTCCCAAAGTGCTGGGATTACAGGCGTGAGCCACCACGCCCGGCCTCTCTCTTATTAATTCTAATCTTTTTCATCTGATTATGTTCATAAAGATGTTTTTGTTGGGTTCTCCTAAATGTGACATCTCATTCCAATTCTAAAATGTGAACTAGCCATCCTAGAACAGCATCAATTGATAATGGTGATCATAGCTCTCCTTATCTTTGCATCACTTTAATGAGAATGACTCTAATGACTTTCACACTAAGCTGATGGGAGTTGATGGCTTGAAATAGATTTTCTTTGTCACCGTAAAAATTATTGTCTAGTTGTTGTTTAGTAAGACTTCCATTTCATTGGAAATAGATAATTAGGTTTTATTAAACACCTTTTCCTTTATGTTATTAATTTTTTTTTATTTCTGGGATAACCTCAGTCACGGTACATTACTTTTAATTCCACAGACACGTTTGATTTTCCGATATTTTATTTATGATTTTTACATACATTTTCATAAGATTGATATGAATTTGTGTGTGTTTGTACACAAGTGTATGCATGTGCAGTATCTTGGCAGATTTTAACATTAGGACTGCACTTGCATTATAATTGTAAATGAATAGCGTTACCTCCTCTTTATGCTGTAAATCAGTTTTGGGAGCATGATAATACACTTTTTGTTAATTTTAAAGATGATAACCTTTCAATAGTAGAGATCGAGAGCCATTTTTATAGAATACCTTGAAATTTTTTTCAAGTATTCAGTTTATTGATGTACTCAAGTTTTAACTTTTTCTTGAGACCATTTCAATAATTCATATTCTTCCTGAAACTTGATCATTTCATTAAAATTTTCATATGTGTTAACAGAAAGTCGCATATGGTAGCCCCATAAATTTGTAATTACTTTTTATATCTGTTGGGTTTGAATCTTTCTTATTCCTTTGTTTTTTTGTTTTTTTTTCTCTGTCGCCCAGGCTAGAGTGCAGCAGCATGATCTCGGCTCACTACAACCTCTGCCTCCCAGGTTCAAGCAATTCTCCTGCCTCAGCCTCCCAAGTAGCTGGGATTATGGGCATGCGCCACCATACCCGGCTAATTTTTGTATTTTTAGTAGATGCGATGTTTCACCATGTTGGCCAGGCTGGTCTCGAAATCCTGACCTCAGGTGATCCTCCTGCCTCAGCCTCCCAAAGTGCTGGGATTACAGGAGTAAGCCACCATGCCCGGACTCAATCTTTCTTATTCCTAATATTATTTTTTCTCATTTTCCAGTTATACTTGCCAGACAACTCTCTATAGGTCATTTTATTAATTTTGTCTAGAGACTATTTACCACTTACCAACTGCACACTCACATCTTATTTTTTCCAATGAAGAATGTGCTGTTCAAGTATATTTTTTTTCTAGATTTTTACTGTGACAAACAATGCTTCAACAAACACCTTTTACATTTATCTTGGATCCATGTGTTTTTTAAAATCACAATAAGACAGTCCCTCAAATAGTACTGCTAGTTCAAAAGTGTGCATATTTTAACTTTAACTTTTACTACACATTTTTCAAACTATTTTCCCCAATCTATAGCAACTCACACTCAAAGGAACAAAGTCGGAGAATGGCTTATCTTCACTAGTTATGAATGTTACCGTCTTTTTAACTTTGTGCTAATCTATTGGGTAAAAAAATAGGTTATTATTCTTTCTTTAATTTGTATTCACTGCTTTTTTATTGCAGTAAGAACACTTGAGATTTAGCTTTTTAACTAATTAAGTACACAATACCATGTTGTTAAGTGTAAACATTGTGTTGTACAGCAGGTCTCTAGACAAATACATCTTTGATAAATGATTCTGTTAAACCATGTTTCTGTTCACATAGTTCTAGCTTCCCCCTTAGGAAAAGGATTGCCTCCCCCCACCCCCATCCCCCATATTTACTTTTCCACGTTATTTTTTAGCTCTTTGCTTCTTTCTCTTTGCAATCTCAGAAATTTATCAGGTTTATTCTCAATATCATGGAATCCATTTTCCTCTGTGTCAATTATAGTCTTTATTTTGTCTAATGTTTTTTTCATTCAATTACTAAGCTCTTAGCTTCCTTGTAATCCTTCCATATCTCATCTGTATTCTTTTCAAATTGATATCCTTTACTTTAGAAGCCATATTTATTGCATCCTATTAGGAATGCTGACCTGCTTTCTAGAATTTATGTATGTATCTTGGAGGAAATGTTTTCCACAAATATCAAAGAATGGTGTCCCTTTTTCCCTGTTCTGCAATAATATTTCCCAGGCCTCACTGGTTGTTTTCATTTTAGTCACCCAGATCCTGATTTTATTGACAGGACATGTAGCTTGCCTGTGTCTTGCTCCACCATGACTTGAAACTTTTTTCCTATGTATAGCTGGAGGGCAAGACAGCATGACAACTAACAACCCATCCTAGGACCAGCAGCAACCACCTCACACAGGCCTGAGAAAGGGGCTTGGAATCTTCTGCCCATGCCCCAGTCCAGTTTTCTGACTCTGTCAACCAATGAAGGATAAGAGAATCCATGCCAGAGCATCTCCCAGGCCTCTCTCTGCCTCTGCTCCAGTTCTGGGGCCTCACTTTTCAGTCCGAGATATCCACAGCCTTGAGGGGCTGTCAGGTGGTTGCCAAGGAACCGACCGGCAGGCTGTGCCTCCAGGGACCTCACTTGGCAATGTTCATTACCCCTGCTGGTCCTCAGCCTTGCAAGCCTATATTTTATACTGATTTTATCAGCACCCTGACAGGGGATCCATCTCTCGAGGGAGGACTCGCATTAATAAAGCTTATGAGACTGCTACATGAAACCAGATGCTGGATTATTAACTTACAAGAAGAAATAAGTGATGCAAGATGGAAAATTTGAAGTCCACAGCAGTCATGCCTTTTATTTTTGATAGCTGAGTTAGTAATACGAGAAGCTAAACCATCATCCCAATTCCTATCTGTGAATTTGCAGTGAAAGTCACTGCCATAGAAACCAAAGTACTCAAGGCAAATGCTCTCTTTATAGGCAGACCTACCTAGGAAGCCAAATAGTCAAAGAGTATTTTTGGGTTTGGGGTTTCTTCTTGGTTTTTTTTTTTTGTTTTTTTTTTTTTGAGATGGAGTCTCGCTCTGTCACCCTGGCTGGAGTGCAGTGGTGTGATCTTGGCTCACTGCAACCTCCGCCTCCTGGGTTAAGTGACTCCCCTGCCTCAGCCTCCTGAATAGCTGGGATTACAGGTGCCTGCCACCACGCCCAGCTAAGTATTGTATTTTTAGTAGAGACAGGGTTTGACCATGTTGGCCAGGCTGGTCTTGAACTCCTGCCCTCAGGTGATCCACCTGCCTCGATCTCCCAAAGTGCTGAGATTACAGGCGTGAGCAACCGTCCCCAGCCTGTATTTGTTTTTAGTAGAGACAGGGTTTCACTATGTTAGCCAGGCTGGTTTCGAACTCATGACCTCAAGTGATCCACCCACCTCAGCCTCCCAAAAAGCTGGGATTACAGGCATGAGCCACCACGCCCAGCCCAAAGAGTATTTTTGAACACAGTCTCAGAGCTAGGGAGGGCGGATGAAGCAATGAGACTGGGCTGCCCAGTGTCTGTTTTCTGCCAATCACCATATCCTTCCTATCTTTGCCACTGTTATCAACCAGTCTGCTGATGGGCTTCTCCTCTCTTTTGCATCTGGGACCATCTCCCTCTTCTGACAGCTGGTTCCCTTCTTTATACAATCATTCAATCAGGAGATGGTCAAAACTATATCTGGAAAACCAGGTCTGGAAGCCTGTCTGATTCCTTCACAAAATTTTTCCCGTTTTGATGGATGGTGGCTCACACCTGAAATCCTAACACTTTGGGAGGCTGAAAGCAGGCGGATCACTTGAGCCCAGGAGTTTGAGACCAGCCTGGGCCGCATGGTGAGACCCTGTCTCTACAAAAAATAAAAAAAATTAGCCGAATGTGGTGGCTACTCAGGAGGCTGAGGCAGGAAGATCACTTGAGCCCAGGAGGTCAAGGCTGCAGTGAGCCATGTTTGCGCCACCTGCACTCGGCCTGGGCAGCAGAGTGAGACCATGTCTGAAAAGAAACGTTTCCCTTTCATCTTCTGCTGACTTTATTTTTTGCCCCTTCTTTTCACAGGTGCGGACTTTAGTGACTTTACAGGGGAATATCTCATGTCCTCCATGAACAAGTTCTGAGGAGACCTTTTAATAATAGGAACCGGGCCAGGCACAGTGGCTCAAGTTTGTAATCCCAACACTTTGGGAGGTCGAGGCGGGCAGATCACTTGAGATCAGGAGTTCAAGGCCTGCCTGGCCAACATGGTGAAACCCATCTCTACTAAAAATAGAAAAATTGGCCAGGCGTGGTGGTGCGTGCTTGTAATCCCAGCTACTCAGGAGGCTGAGGCAGGAGAATAGCTTGAACCCCGGAGGTGGAGGTTGCAGTGAACCGAGATTGCGCTACTGCACTCCAGCCTGGGCAACAGAGTGAGACTCCATCTCAAAATAACAATAATAATAATAATGGGAACTGATCTTAGGATCTGCTCTCTACTACCTCTTATGCTTTCTATGAGTATTTCTACCTCAGCTTTCTATGAGTATCTGTTTTATTCCAAATGGATTTGTTTCCACAATGTGGGGCTGGTGGAGAGCAGTCCCTTGGAGAGTTGACAAAACAACACCCAGCCATAGAAAGACGGCTGATCAGGTTTCTGTTTGGTACATAGTCTGGGTGTCTAGCTGGGAACAGATCACAGGAGGGGGCAACATGCCTTTCTGACTCTTTTCAGAAAAGCGAGGCTGTTGTTCCCCCAGGAGAAGAATGTTCAGCTATGGGTTGAGATCTCCTTATCAGTTGCACCACCCCTGCAATTTTGCGACAGTTCCTATCAGAGAGAGGCACTTGGCTGTCTGCCAGACGTGGGTCTGAGAGTAGCCAGAGTTCCTTCTACCTTTGAATTTTTGTTTTAAGTTGAAGAAAGTCATATCAGAGGTTGCTAACTCAATCGGACCCTCCAAATCAGAAATCGTACAGAGAATTTCTCACTTTATCTACAAACTGTCCAAACCAGAAATTTTATCAGCACAGTAAGGGGTGGCCCTCACTTGTCTCTCACTCCAGGCCTGACGTTGGGGAAGTAAAGGTTTGAACACCTGCCTCTGGCAGCCTGGGCTCAAGGACAGCAGGAGCTGGGGACTGCAAGACAGCAGCTTCACCCATGCTGACTCATGCTGACCTGTCGGCCTCCTCGTGCCCCTCATCATGCCCCTTTGTGCTCCAGGTTGACATGTTAAGGAACTGAGAGTTTTACGTCTTTTATTTCAGAAATGGGTCAAATTTAAGAGAGACTTTGATAATTTCAAGACTCAATGTATCCCCTGGGAAATGAAGATCAAGGACATTGAAAGTGAGTATGCTGGTGTCACTGTTTTTTTAATTGGTTTCCTAAAGCGTTTCCCAAGAGCTTGGATTGTTTCCTTGGCCCTCTGAATAGATTATTTCATTGGTTCTGTTGTATTAGGAAAAAAGAATGAGTTTTGAACTTGTCAGGCCAAGATTTATTTTTTATTTATTTATTTATTTATTTATTTATTTATTTATTTATTTTTATTTATTTTTGAGACAGAGTCTCGCTCTGTTGCCCAGGCTGGAGTGCAGTGGTGTGATCTTGGCTCACTGCAACCTTCACCTCCTAGGTTCAAGCGATTCTTCTGTCTCAACCTCCTGAGTAGCTGGGATTACAGGTCTGGGCCACCACACCTGGCTAATTTTTTTGTATATTTAATAGAGACAGGGTTTCATCATGTTGGCCAGGCTGGTCTCGAACTCCTGACCTCAAGTGATCCACCCACCTTAGCCTCCCAAAGTGCTGGGATTACAGACGTGAGCCACCGCACTCATCCCAGACCAAGATTTAAATTCTGCTTTTTCACTTTCTGACTGTGGGCACTTAGGCAAGTTAGTTAACCCCAAAGAGCCTCAGGTTATTTATCCAGGAAAAGAAAGGGAGATCCAGGTGTCATTCAACAGACTGATGTGAAAATTGAATCCACCACACACATAAAGTGCTCAATAGTGTCCATTTTTTCCTTCTGCAGCACTCATACCCACCGTCTTTTCTCTCTCTAGGTCACTTTGGTTCTTCAGTGGCATCGTATTTCATCTTTCTCCGATGGATGTATGGAGTTAACCTTGTCCTTTTTGGCTTAATATTTGGTCTAGTCATAATCCCAGAGGTAAGAAAAGAACTTCCTAAATCTTTGGATAGAGTTAAGGCTTATGACCACCGTCATCAATTATCAACCAAATACTTCCTGTTTTACAAAGAATCAGTCATTCATTTAAAATGCTATTAGGCTGGTGCAAAAGTAATTGTTTTGCATTAAAAGTAATTTTAATTTTTTGCCATTAAAAGTAATTTATAAATTACTGCCATGAAAAGTAAATTTATAAAATTAAAAGTAATGGCAAAAACTACAATTACTTTTGCACCAACCTACGACCTAATGTACTCACATCAATTACCCAGATAGTTAAATACAAAGAATGGAACCAAAATACTTTGTTCCTTAATTAGTAGGTGAATCTTACATTTTTCTACTTCTCATTTTACCTTAAGATCAGTGGAGAATTAATGTTTCAATGAGTTTTTTTCTTTTACTCTCAGAAAAAAGAGAGGGATAGAATACATTATATCATTATTTATCACCAAAAAAACTTGGATTTGACTATCACTCCTCACTATTCTCCCATATATAATTTTTAAGGAGGTTTTTTTTAGAAACAGGGTCTCACTCTGTTGCCCAGGTTGGAGGGCAGTGATGTGATCGTGGTTCAGTGCAGCCTTGAACTCCTGGGCTCAAGTAGCTCTCCCACCTCAGCCTCCCAAAGTGTTGGGATTACAGGCATAACCCACCATACCTGGCCCCAGATATAATCTTATTATGGACATAAATAGATTCTTATCTACAGATGATTAATTGAGAAACAAAAAAGGGGTAATGAGCAATTTGTGCAAAGTCACACAATAAGATCATTGTGAATTGGATCTCAGGTCCCCAGAGTGATGGCTTAGGGTCTTTTCCAAGGAGCCTGTGGCTCACTAAGCACTGAGCACAGCAATTGCTACAATTGCTACAGTCCTGACTGAAATCCTTGATGCTGGTGCTGGGTACACAAGTGGGTCTACTTCAACAGCTTTCAGAGGAACAGTATGTGTGCATTTAGTATTTTCTTCCTCACAGGTGTATTAATTGGTTCTTTGATGACTTACTGACTCCTATTTTGTTATAAATGGTTCTGTGAGCATATTGGAGTCAATTCTATCTGCAGTTACATTTTCTGCACAGCCACTTTCAGGACATTAAAAACCTTTCACATAATGTGAATTAAATCAGATTTATTGGAGGAGGTTGACCATGCATTATAATAGCCTTTGGTAGCAAAGGAGTGTTACATTATTCATAAAATTGTTGAATTCTTTTCTATATTACTCAAAATGTGTGCTTACAAATATGTCATTAACTAGCCTTTGTACTCTTTCATAAACACACCTAGAAATCAAGGGTTCTGAGTCCACTGAGCCCTACATATATTCTTATGCCAATATCACTCTCTGACCCAGAAGTTAGCATTTTAAACGTCACTGTCAAGCGTACACAAACACTCTTACACCAAGTCTGGTTCTCCCCAGGGGGAAAATATTGTCAAAAGCTAATAGGAAGTCTCATTTATCTCCTCCATAGTCAGGTAAATATGAAATGTTTTCCTCGGTAGTCAATGGGGAAATTTACCTTCACAAAGCTCTTGGCTTTCTTCTTGGAAGCTTTTATTCCATGAGAAGAGAGCACATTTAAATGCCACAGGCCTATGAGACATCTCTGAAATTTTGCTGTGCAGTGGTCCATAAAAGGCAGGTTTGGGGGAAGTTGAGCAATTTTAAGGACACTCGGTTGCTTTTTAAAAGAGAACATTAAATTTGGTATAATTTATGTAAGTTTTTAATATTTTTATGAGGGAACATTTATTTTAAACAATAAAAACTTAGTGATTGGTGCATTCCAATGAAGCAGCCAAGATCTGAACCATTCGTGCTAGAGAACCTTGATTTGATTGGCAGGTGATTGGGAAAACCATACTGGAGTGGGTTGAGAGTAAGAGAGAGAGAGAGATGCTTTGCTGGAAAGAGGAGCCTTGGCTTGGGAAGAAGGAGAAGGGAAGAAGGGAAATAGGGGAGAAGGGAAGAGGCTTAGACCAGGTAGCAGCCTGTTGCAGTAGGTCAGTGCTAGATCCGGGTAATATCAATGGGAATGGATTAAAAGAGAGGAATCAGAGTGAAGTGCACGGACAAGTCTTGATGACAGGTTGGATAACAGCAATTAGGGTGTGGGGTGTCTCAAGATGCCTTCTTATTTAGGATGATGGGAAATTGGCCATATGGGAATCAGACACATCCAAATTCATTGCACATCTAAAGGAAGTGTCCTGTTGGTCAAAGACACAGAGAACTTCAGGGCTCAAGGGTTTTCAGCATAAGCTAAGGTTCAGAGATATCCCCACGACCCATGGATGTTTTAAAATGAAGCATAGTGAACCAGAGGGTCCAGGGATAAGAATAGTAGAAGTGCTCAAACATGACTTTTTAAAAAAATTATTTATATATATATAGAGAGAGAGACAGAGCCTCATTCTATCTCCTGGGTTGGAGTGCAGTGGCACAGTCTTGGCTCGCTGCAGCCTCCACCTCCTGGGTTCCAGCAATTCTCGTGCCTCAGCCTCCCAAGTAGCTGGGATTACAGGCACGCACCACCAGACCCGGCTAGTTTTTGTATTTTTAGTAGAGATGGGGTTTCGCCATGTTGGCCAGGCTGGTCTCAAACTCCTGACCTTAAGCGATCTGCTCGCCTCAGCCTCCCAAAGTGTTGGGATTACAGGCATGAGCCACCATCCCTGGCCTTGAACGCAACTTTAACGAAACTTCTCCTTATATTCATTTTCCTTTTGCCACAAACTCTCAATACCACTTTATGAAATTAAACAGCTCTGAATGTAAGAATGAGCCTTGTTTATCTTTAATTGCCATTGCCTGCACAACCCAGGATGTCTACGTGATCCCTGAGGAACCCTCAGTTATGCTGCAGGAGCTGGCTGGCAAGGCCCCACTGGATGACAAGTTTATGTACTTCTCTTCCAACACTGGATGTATGTGAAAATCACCTGGGGGACTTTAAGAACACCAGATCTTAGGCTCACCCCCAGTCAAATAAATTTGACTCTGAGGGTATGGTCTTGTTATCTCTGTTTTAAAAGCTTCTGTGGAAAGCAGATTTCTATGATAACCTCCAATGATCCTTCTCTCCTGGTATTCATGTCCTTATGTAACGCCTCCCTTTGAATATAGGCTAGACCTAGAGACTTGCTTTTAACAAATAGAATATAGAATGGTTAGGTTATGAAAGATAGTGATTTCCATCTTGCTGGCAGAATTCTCTGTTGATTCCCTTCTTGGTTTGGGTGCTTTAATGAAGCAGTCTGACAGATTGGAGATGCCCACCTGGCAAGGAACTGAGTGTGGCCTTTGGACAATGGCCAGCAAGGAACTGAGGCCCTTAGTCCAGCAACCCAGCAACAACCACATAAGCACTTTTTTTTTTTTTTTTTGAGATGGAGTCTTGCTCTGTCACCCAGGCTGAAGTGCAGTGGCATGATCTCAGCTCACTGCAACCTCTGCCACCCAGGTTCAAGCAATTCTCCTGCCTCAGCCTCCTGAGTAGCTGGGATTACAGGCATGTGCCGCCACGCCCTGCTAATTTTTGTATTTTTAGTAGAGACGGGATTTCAGCATCTTGGCCTGGCTGGTCTTGAATCCTGACCTCATGATCCACCTGTCTTAGCCTCCCAAAGTGCTGGGATTACAGGCATGAGCCACCATGCTCAGCCTCACATAAGCACATTTTAAGGCAGATTCTTCCCCAGTCAAACCTTCAAATAAGACCAAAGCAGAAATTTTGGTTGCAGCCTTGTGAAAGATCCTGGAAGCGAAGGACCCAGCTAAGCCATACCCAAAATGCTAGTCACAGAAACAGTGAGATAATAATTGTGTGTTTTTTTAAGCCTCTAACATTTTAGGGTAATTTGTTATATAGCAGTAGATGACTAATGCAGCTCCCCAGGTGATTCTATTATGCAGCTAGGGTTGAAAACTGCTAATGTACATTATAAGGTCTTTAAGGAAGCTGTGCTTTAGGTTTACATAGCAAGCATTCAGTCTGTAAACCTCTTATGATACTTCCCCTTAAAAATAACTACTAAATTATTTCAGACATATGAAAAGATATAATGAGGCCGGGCGCGGTGGCTCACGCCTGTAATCCCAGCACTTTGGGAGGCCGAGGCGGGCGGATCACGAGGTCAGGAGATCGAGACCATCCCGGCTAACACGGTGAAACCCCGTCTCTACTAAAAATACAAAAAATTAGCCGGGCGTAGTGGCGGGTGCCTGTGGTCCCAGCTACTTGGGAGGCTGAGGCAGGAGAATGGCGTGAACCCGGGAGGCGGAGCTTGCAGTGAGCCGAGATCCCGCCACTGCACTCCAGCCTGGGCGACAGAGCGAGACTCCGTCTCAAAAAAAAAAAAAAAAAGAAAAGATATAATGAATGAGCCTACTTGCTCATCACCATGCCTAAAAAATGAAATATTACACACACACTGAAGTCCTCTGATTAATTTTCCCCAATTTTATTACCTACGTAACCCTCACTATCCTGAACTTTCCATTTCAACTCACATTTTAAAATGTAGTGACTTAAATACAGTCATCTCTTATTTTCTAAAATCACAGTGTATCTAAAGATGTATCCCCTTTTGCATTACAGTATAATTTTTTTGTCTCATTTACAGCAAAGTTTGTCTTTTTTAGTTATTTTGTTCAAGAAAAAACTTTTGGCTTTGCTGATTCTCTCTGAAATGTCTTTTTTTTTTTAATTCAGTCTTTTGGGGGGCACAATTTGCATCAAGTAAAATTTACTCCTTTTAGGTATACAATTCAATGACTTTTGACAAATGTATGATCAGGTAACCACCACACAACTGAAATATAGAACATTTCCATCGCCCCCTAAATTTCTCTAGTACCCACATTGCAAGCAATCTCCTCTCCCAGCTCCCAGCCCTTGACAACCAATGATTGATTTCTGATTTCTGTTCCCAAAGTTTTGCCCTTTTCAGAATATCATACAAATAGAAATATGTAGTATGCAGTTTTATTGTGTCTAACCTCTTTCAGTTGGTACAATGTCTTTGAAATTCTTTCATGTAGTTTATCAGTCATTTGTCCCTTTATTGCTGAAATGGAATTGAAAATTACAATGGGATTGTAATATTCCACCATATGAGTATATCATAGTTTGTTATCCATTCACCAGCTCATGGACATTTCAGTTGTTTCTATTTGGAAACTATTATGAATAACTCTACTATAAAACATTCACTTTCAGGTCTTTTTCTTTTATATCTTTATTTTTATATTACTAATTTCTAACTTATATGTTTCATTTCTTTCCTTCTAATTTCTTGGGGTTTGTATTCATTATCTATTGCTGGGTAACAAATTACTCCCTATTTTTTCGCTGAATACAACAACCATTTATTATTATTTCTGTGGGTCAGGAATCCAGAAGTGGTTCTGGCTTGGGGTCTCCCACAGCCTACGGTCTAGGTTTTGACCAAGGCTACAATTATCTTGAGGCTGAACTGAAGAAGATCCGCTTCCAAGCTCACTCACATGGCTACTGGCAGATCTCAGAAGATACAATTTCAAGCTTACTCACGTGGCTTCTGGCAGGCCTCAGAAAATCTGCTTCCAACCTTACTTATGTGGCTGTTCCCAAGGTTCAGGTACTCAGTGGCTATTGGCCAGAGACATCAGTTTCTTACTACATGAGTTTTTCCATAGGCAAGCTCATAAGGTGGCAGCTTTCTTCTCCCAGAAGGAGAGAATCCAAGAAGGAAATAGAGCAAAAAGAAGCTTCCCACATAGAAGCCACCATTTTTTATAACCTAATCTCAGAAATGACATTCCATCACTTCTGCCATATTTTATTCCTTAGTAGTGAGTCACTAAATCAAGCCCACACTCAGTGGGAGGGTATTATGGTACACAATAATAAATACCAGAGGCAGGGATCATGTGAGCCACCTCACAGGCTGCCTACCACATTGAACCCTCTGGTCCTCAGTGATTCACATCCCTTCCACATGCAGAATACACTCGCCCCTCCTCAAGGCCTCTAAAAATCTTATTCTGGCATAGCATCAGCTCAGATTCCAAACTCTCACTCTAAATCAGTAGTTCAGGTGCAGATGAAGCTCCATGGGGGTAGCTCTTTAAATACAACTCCTTGAGTTCAGTTCTCTTTACCATGAGACTAAAAAGATGTTATCTGCACCAACACAACAAACATAAAATGGTGGGACAGGCATAAGATAAATGCTATAGACATGCCTGTGTTCAAACAGGAGAAAAATGGGAGGCACAAAGGAGTTATTGGCCCATAGCAAGTCTACAACTGTAGTAGCCTGTTCTTGTGTTGCTATGAAGAAATACCTGAGGCTGGGTAATTTATAAAGAAAAGAGGTTTAATTGGCTCATGGTTCTCCAGGCTGTACAGAAAGCAAAGTGCCAGCATCTGCTTCTGTTAAGGGCCTCAGGAAACTTACATCATGATGGAAGGTGAAGGGGAACCAGCACATCACTTGGCGAGAGCAGGAGCAAGAGAGTGATTGGGAGAGGTCCTAGACTTGTAAACAACCATATCTCGTGTGAACTAACCGAGTGAGAACTCACTTATCACCAAGGGGATAGTGCTAAGCCATTTATGAAGAATCTGCCCTCGTGATCCAGTATGTCCCACCAGGCCCCACCTCCAACACTGGGAATCACATTTCAACATGAGAGTTGGAAGGGACATTCAAATGACATCAGTAACACAACACTCATTTATAAATTTTCCTCTCAATACCATTTTAGTTGCATGCCATATACTTTGATATACATTGCCATTATTTATTTTTAGGTATTTTCTAATTTCCTTGTAATCCACAAGTTATTTATGAATAATTTTCAAGACTTTAATATATAGAAAGATTGGTGGCATTTTTTACTGGTTTTTAGTATAATTTTATAGTGATCATAGTGTATATTTTGTATGAAACTGATACTTTTTCATCACTTGGGACTTGCTTTATTTACTTAGAATATGGTTAATTTTCCTAAATTTTTATATTATTTGCATGGTTCAAAATATTACTTGTATTCTACAAATTATCTATAATCTTACTAATTTTAGAGTAGCATGATCAATTGCTGAGTGAGATCAATTAAATCTCCTGCCATTGTCTTCTTCTCATTGTAATTATTATTTTTGTTTTATATATGTTAATGCCATGTTATTGGGCACATACAAATTTAAGATTGTTATGTGGTGAATTATATTGATTTATTTTCAAATGTTAAACCAGATTGCATTCTTGGAATAAACCCAACTAGGTTATTATGTATTATCTTTTTTATATATCATCTGATTTTGATTTGTGAATATTTTATCTAGAATTTTTGCATCTATTTTTGAGATACTGGACTGTAAATATCCTTCTTATAATGTTCTTATGTTTGGGGATCACTATTAGACCTCATAAAGTGATTTGGGAATGTTTTTTTTTATTATTCTCTTGAAGAATTTGTGTAAATTTTCCTGTGGTAGGTTTAGGTGAATTTTTAAAAATGTACTTCTTTTAATTGACAAATATAAATTGCATATATTTATGTTGTACAAAATGCTGTCTTGGAATGTGTATATATTGTGGAATGGTTAAATCAAGCTAATTAACATATGCATCACCTCATATACCTATACTTATCATTTATTTTTGGTGAGAACACTTAAAATCTATTCTCATAGCAATTTTCCAGTATACAATACATTGTTATTAACTATAGTCACCATGTCGTACAATAGATCTCTTGAATTTATACTTCCTATCTAGCTGAAATTTTGTATCCTTTGACCAACATTTCCCAATCTCCCCAATTCCCTAAGTGAAGTTTTTGTTGTCATTGTTGATTTGTTGCTTTTTGTATATGTGGTAGGCAGAATTCTAAGAATGACCCTAAATGACCCTCAATCTTGTATAATCCCCCCCCCCTTTGAGTATGGACAGAACCTAGGAATGAGGTATCACTCCAAGGTTATTTGAGTGAGCCTAATTTAATCACATGAGCTCTTTAAAAGCCAAGAGTTTTCTCTGGCTGGTTGCAGAAGAAGTCACAGATATTCAAAACATGGGAAGGATTGAACACACCACTGCTGGCTTAAAGATGGAGGGAACCATGTAATGGGGAATGTGGGAGCCCTTGAGAGGCTGAGTGTGGCCGCCATCTGCCACCCCGCAAGGAAACAGGGACCTCAGTCCTACAAGCACAAGGAAATGAATTCTGCCAACAATAAGTGAGCTTGGAAGAGGACTCCAGACCCCAGATGAGACCCTTAGCCCCTGCTGACTCTTTGATTTCAGTCTGGTGAGACCCTGAGCAGAGAATCCAGCCACACCATGCTAGACTGCTGACCTACAGAACTGTGAGCTAATAAATGGTGTTGCTTTAGGCCATCTTTGTGGTAATTTGTTACACAGAAATAGAAATCCAAAGCAGTAGATATCCAGCTTTGGATCTGTAGCACTTACTAAATCTTAAACTGTCTTTTGTCACATTGGGAAAATTCTCTGCCATAATCCCTTTAAATACTGTTTCTATGCCATTCCATCTTCTCTCTCCTTCTGGGACTACATATATGTGTGTGCCTTTGCATGTGTCTTTGTGTGTGTGTGTGTGTGTGTGTGTGTGTGTCTTGTCTCAGTGAGCCTTGTCTCTGTATTTCCATGTATGCCTTATGCTCTTTTCAGTATCTTCCATCTTTTTCTCTATATATTTAAGTCTGGACTTTTTTAACCCTGTATTAAAATTTAGCCATTCTCTTTTCTGATCTATATGTTCTTAAATCTGTCCATTGAGCTTTTAATTTCGATGATCACATGCTTCAGTTCTATAACTTCCATTTGATTGTTTTTATAGTTTCCAGTTCTCTACCAAAATGATTCATCTTGTCCCTTAATTCCTTAAGCATATTAATCAAACTTATTTTAAAGCTCATGACTGACAACTCCCTTATTTAGACTTCCTTTGAATCTGTTTTTATTGTTTAATTTTTCTTTTAGTTTTTAGTCAAGCTGAGTGCTACGCATTGTTTGTGAGCAATTATTGAGTTTTACTTATTCCTCTGGTGGGAGAACTAAGCAAGATGGTCTATATTTTTGTCTAATTTTACTTTCTGAGTAAAATCTTCCCAGGCCTCAACTAAAAGCTTGGGCTTTTTCCAGATATCTTCCTATTTGCCCTGTGTGTGTGTGTGTGTGTGTGTGTGTGTGTGTGTGTGTGTGTGTGTGTGTGTGGAGATGGGGTTTTTCCATGTTGCCCCGGCTGGTCTTGAACTCCTGAGCTCAAGCGATCCACCTGCCTCAACCTCCCAAACCTATTTGTCCTTAAATTTCACTCTCATTTCATTCTTCAGCCCTTTGACTATTCCAAAGTTGCTGCATACTGTCTTTATCTTTTAGCTGCTGTGATTGAAATCAACGAATAACTCATGGGGAACAGCAATGCACAATCACTTCTTCAGAATTTCTTTATCTCCTGGATCTTGGCAGCACAAGTCATGATTGTCCACTTGTCTAGTTGTTCTCAGTGAAAGAGTTTGTCCAAAGCAACTTCCCCTGCTTTTGCTGGCAGTACTGTTTGTTTGTTAATTTGTTTTTGAGACAAAGTCTCCCTCTGTCTCCCAGGCTGGAGTGCAGTGGCTCAATCTCGGCTCACTGCAAGCTCCGCCTCCCAGGTTCACGCCATTCTCCTGCCTCAGCCTCCCAAGTAGCTGGGACTACAGGCGCCCGCCACCATGCCCGGCTAATTTTTTGTATTTTTAGTAGACACAGGGTTTCACCGTGTTAGCCAGGATGGTCTCGATCTTCTGACCTCATGATCTGCCCACCTCGGCTTCCCAAAGTGCTGGGATTACAGGCATGAGCCACCGCGCATGGCCGGCAGTATTGTTTTTAATAGTAAAATCTGGAAACAATCCAAATGTCTATGAAGAGTAGACTGTGTAAATACATTATAGTATGTCCATACAATGCAATATTACGTAACAGTGAAAATTAGAGAACTGTAGCTACAAATGTCAATATCAATGAATCTCAAAAGTGTAATGTTGTATGAAAAAAACAATTCATAGGAGAATACTTATGCATGATTCCATTTTACAGGCAAAACTAAACAGGCAAAACAAAACAATAAATGAGTAAAATATAAGGAAAAACAAGGGAATTGTTAACATAAAATGTACTATATCTTGGTTGCATCTTAGGATGCAAGAGGGATATAATTCAGGAGGGGCTTATCCAGGGTACTATAAAGGCCTGGAAATTTCCTGTTTCTTAAGCTAGCTAGTGGATATATAGTAGTTAATTTCCTTTTTATTATGATCAACTATACATATATGTTATACATATACTATTTTATGTATAACATATTCCCCAATAAGAAAATAAATTTAAAACAAAGAAACAAAAAGAAATAAAAGAAAATTACCTAAAAATGAAGAACCTATAAATTAAGAAACAAAGTAATTTTATATTAAATGGTGAAAAATACTAAAGCCTGTTACAAAAATCAAAAGAAACATGATATATCCCTATCCCTACTACTTTTCAATATTAATTTCTGCCACCTAATGCAATGTCAGGAAAATTAACATCTTATACACTTCGTACAAAAAAAATACAAAGTTATTTTGGTTTGCAGGTGATATGATTGTAAACCCCCCAAAAACTCCAATGATTTTATGAAAAACTACTAGAATCTAATAAACAAGTATATTGAGATGACTGGAGTCATTTTAAAGACAAATGGCAGTGATTTTCTGTATATTTAATGTCCACTTAAAAATAGAATTTAAAATTTTGACACAATGCAATAAATTTATAAAATAACTAGTAATACATTTAATAAATCAGAATATTTCTATGAGGAACACTATAAAGAATTACTGGACAAAAATAAGACAATAAATGGAAGGATATATTCTTGGAAGGAAAAATTTAATCTCATTAAAAAGTCAATCCTTCCTAAATCAATATATAAATCTAATCCATTTCTGATTTTTTTTACAATTAAGGATATGAATAAGGGCATATGTATAAGGGTATTAATAACAGAATTATATACACGTATAGAACTAGAAATACTTTAATGTCCAACAATAGAGGATTTGTTAAGTAAGTTTCTTGTACATATTTTTATTAGATATTTTTGAAGTCATTTTATTTGGGGAAATACCTTATGACGTAGGAAACTGGTCACAAAATAATATTAGACTAAATAACTAGACTAAAATATACATAGAACTCAGAAATAACTAAAAGAAAATATATAAATATCTAACAGTCATTATCTTTGGGTTTTGGCACTGATAGGTAATTTTTAAAATGCTCTTCTGGCTGGGCACGGTGGCTCATGCCTGTAATCCCAGCACTTTGGGAGGCCAAGGTAGTAGGATCACTTGAGCCCAAGAGTTTGAGACCAGCTGGGCAACATGGCAAAACCTTGTCTCTACTAAAAATACAAAAAATTAGCTGGGCGTGGGGGTACACACCTGTAGTTCCCGCTACTCAGGAGGCTGAGGTGGGAGGATCACGTGAGCCAGGGAGGCAGAAGTTATTGCAATGAGCCGAGATGGAGCCACTGCACTCCAGCCTAGGTGATGAAGTGAGAACCTGTCTCAAAAAAGAAAGAAAAGAAAAGAGAAAAGAGAAGAAAAGAAAAGAAAAGAAAAGGAAAGGAAAAGAAAAGAAACGCTCTTCTGTACTTTTTCACATTTTTTACAATGAGTGTGTGTTACTCTTAAAATCAGGAAAGCGATCAATGTTATTTAAAGAAGAAAATAGAGCCGGGCTCAGTGGTTCACGCCTGTAATCCTGGCACTTTGGGAGGCCAAGGTGGGTGGATCACCTGAGGTCAGGGGTTCAAGACCAGCCTGGCCAACATGGTGAAATCCTGTCTCTACTAAAAATACAAAACAGCCAGGCATGTTGGCAGGCACCTGTAATCCCAGCTACTCGGGAGACTGAGGCAGGAGAATCACTTGAACCTGGGAGGCGGAGGTTACAGTAAGCTGAGACTGTGCTATTGCACTCCAGCCTGGGTGACAAGAGTGAAACTCCATCTCAAAAAATAAAAAATGAATTAAATTAATAAATACATAAAGAAAGAAGAAAATAGGTGTATTCCGCTCTGAGAAGGAAAGCATTTACCCCAGTATATGAATGTCTCTGTGTGTTTGTATTTCCTCCACTCATACTTGTGTCATTGTGTTTCTGCACAAGGTACTGATGGGCATGCCCTATGGGAGTATTCCCAGAAAGACAGTGCCTCGGGCTGAGGAAGAAAAGGCCATGGATTTTTCTGTCCTTTGGGATTTTGAGGTACTATTGTCAACATGCCAATGAACTTCCATTTGTGATTATAAAGGCTAAAGATTGCATGGATAAGTATGAAATAGTGCGTTTAATTATTGAAAAACCATTGCTTTAATAGGATCCCAGCACTAAGCTAAATGAGCTTGCAAACCATGTCTCTGCACAGTCTTCCCGGGTCTCCTTCACGCACTGCTCTCTCCAGCCACACTCTGACAGATGTGGGCTCCCCATGCAGCCACTGCACCTCTCTGTCTGCCAGGTCTCTGTAAGGTGATCTCACGGTATGCTTTTCTTTCCTCATTCCCACATTAAGACCCCAGATCTATCTCCACTCCAGGCTTCCCCAAGTTTCACATGACATCTTCAACTGAATGTCCTACTTGCTCTTCAAATGCAACACCTATCCAGCCAAAACCCACATCTCTTTTTCCCAGCTCCTTTATTGGAATCACCATTCATCCAATCATCCATGTCTGAAGCCTGAAAATCATCCCACGCTTCTACCTCTTCCTCACCAACCACCCGCCACTGCCATCCAACCAACCACTAAATCTGAACCTACCTACTAAATATTTCTTAAATCTTTTGTAAACCCAATTGTATTAGTTCATGTTCACACTACTACCTGAGACTGTGTCATTTATAAATAAATGGGTTTAATTGGTTCACAGTTCCGCATGGCTGGGGAGGCCTCAAGAAACTTGCAATCACAGTGGAAGGCAAAGGGGAAGCAAGGCACTTCTTACATGGCAGCAGAAGACAGAGAGCACAGGGGAAATGCCAGAAACTTATCAGAACAACCAGATCTCACCAGAACTCCCTCCCTATCATGAGAACAGCATGGGGGAAACTGTCCCCATGATCCATTCACCTCCCACCAGGTCCCTCCCTCAACACCTGGGGATTACAATTGAAGATGAGATTTGGCTGGGGACACAGAGCCAAACCATATCACCAATTAAGAACCTTGGCTTTTATTCCATTTGGGAATGAGAATCAATGAATATCTGAGGAGGAAGAAAATCAGTGAATATCTGGACTGAGTAAGAAAAAGCCACGGAGTTTTTCATCCTTCAAGATTTCAAGGTGCTATTGCCAATGTACCAATGAACTTCCACTTGTGATTGTAAGGCCTAAAGATTGCGTGTGTAAGTGTGAAACAGTGGACTTGATTATTGAAAAACCAGTTCTTTAATCAAATAGGATCCCATCATTAGGCAAAATGCGTTTTTCCATCTCTTTTACCTTCACTTTGAATAACGTCCTCCCTTTACTGGAACTACTGTCAGAATCATCTACCTCTCCTCCCTGCCTTGGCTTGGCTCCTAAAATTTCCATTCCCTTTGTTGCTGGAGTGATCTTTATAAAATGCAGATCTGACCCTGTCACTCCCCTACCTCAAATTTTCATTGATTCTCATTCCCAGTGGAATAAAATCCAGTGTTCTTAATTGGGTTTACAAAGGAACTGTTCATGACCTGGCTGCTCCCTACCTCTCCAGTAATACCTCACACTTTAGTGCCCCAATGCCACCAAGCTTTGGGGAAGTCCCTGCACGCATCACACACTGTCATTGCCTCTCTGCCTTTGCTTATGGCCCTCTGCCTGCAGCACTCTTCCCTCCTTTGTGAGCTTCATACTCCCATGCCTCTGGAGGCTTACTCTGCAGCTCCAAGGGCTTCCTAAGGCTGGGAGGCATGGCTGTAGTGCTGCCCACAGCAAGTCATTGCTGCTGCCATCCTTCACTCTCAAAGTCAGATTGGAGACCCTTCAGAAAGTTATTTGGAACAGGGGTTCCCAACTATACTGTTACTAAGGATTCCTTTTTTTTTTTTTTTTTTTTGAGACAGAGTCTCCCTCTGTTGCCCAGGCTGGAGTGCACGGGCATGATCTCTGCTCACTGCAACCTCCACCTCCCAGGTTCAAGTGATTCTCCTGCCTCAGCCTCCCAAGTAGCTGAGATTACAGGCACCTGCTATTACACCTGGCAAATTTTTGTATTTTTAGTAGAGACAAGGTTTCACTACGTTAGCCAGGTTGGTCTTGAACCCCTGGCCTCAAGTGATCTGCCTACTTCAGCCTCCCAAAGTGCTGGGATTACGGGCGTGAGCCACAGTGCCCAACCCCCTATCCCTAATTTGATCCCAAATGTTAACAACACTCTCTTCTCCCTCCCATGTCTCCATGCACTCTATGTAATGAGGAAATAGAGGGAATGAAGGAGAGAAAGAAGGGGAGATATGGAGGGGCTCTGGAGCCACTGGAGGAGGTGAAGGGAAGAACAAGAACATCTGGAACTCTTCCTTCGGCCCTTAGATTCGGTTAAGACTCTGAGAAAGAAATCCCTGGTAGAGTAGACATGTCTGGTAACCACCAGCTCTGAGCTTACCAACCCAGAGCATTTGGCTTTGCTGTCCCCCAGGGCTATATCAAGTACTCTGCACTCTTCTATGGCTACTACAACAACCAGAGGACCATCGGGTGGCTGAGGTACCGGCTGCCTATGGCTTACTTTATGGTGGGGGTCAGCGTGTTCGGCTACAGCCTGATTATTGTCATTCGATCGTAAGTATGACCGTCTCATCCGCAGGCTTTGACTTCACAGCCACAGCTCACTCCCCTGGCCACTCTATGCCTACCTCCCTTCTGGTGGGGCATTCAGAGAGAAAACAGGAAATGAGCACAGAAAGCATATGCACATTATAATTTGTGGTATGAAAGACATGAACCAGGCCATGTGGGATGTGCTGGGAAATAGGATTGAAACCCCTTTGGATGAGGCTGAGAACGCCAGCCATGCTGAAATTCTGGGGAGCAGCATTTTAGACAAAAGAAGAGCATGTGCAAAGGCCCTGAGGCCGCAAATAGCCTAGTGTTTTCCCAAACTGCCAAAAGGCCAGTGTGGCTTGAGAGGGAGCATAGTACCTAGTAAGGTAGGCCTGGAGGTTTGTCAGGCCTGTTTTTGCTTTTGTCCAGAGCTCAGCTTCCTCCAAAAAACTCTTCTGCTCCTCCAAACTCTAGCTTGTGTGTTAGAACCAAGGCTGGCATATAGAAAGATACAACCAAATAAACTTATACTAAATAAATATATGTGGCAGTGATTAACCATGGCGGCCTCTCTGGCCCCAACTCTACTTGTCTCTGTGGTCAGAAGTGGCCTTTTAATATGTCTGTAACTCTTAATTCCTATTCTCTGAAAACTTGGCCCAGCCCATGGATTGATCGCCTTCTTCAGAATCAGGGGACCCCATCAGCTGTGGCTGGGGGTCACGGAGTGGAAGGCACTGTCTCCTACACAAACCTATCCACCTGGGCCCACTCTCCCTTCAGCACAGACATGAGGGGTCACAGCCTCCCAGAAGAGGGTGGCTGTGTCTCCAGGAGAGGAGTGGAGCACTGGGTAGAGTGAAGTCTGGGTACAGCCCCTGAAAGGGCAATGGGGACGCTTGGTTTTCTTTCACATGGTCTCAGGCGGAAATGCTGTTGTTCCCAAGACCCTGCCCAGCACTCGACAGTGACCACTGGGTGATCTCTGACTGCACAGCCCTATCAGGCAAAAGGAAAAGAACAAGGAGACAGGCTTGCTTTTATTCTTAGCCCTCATGTTGTTGCTTTTTCCCTGCTCTCACCCCAGATAAGTATAGAAATATGCAAAGTTTTCGTGACAAACCAAAAAAGCTAACTAAGCCCTGTGGAACAGCAAATCCAGAGAGCCAACATGTTAGGGAAGATGACAAACCCCTCATAGTATCTTATAGCACCCCTGTTTGGAATTCTGTGATTCCCACAGGGTCAAACTCTAGGGAGCATAGGTTGAAGACAGGTAGGATGAAATAGGAAGGTCCAAGGTGCTTTCAGCCAAACTTGATTAAGAGAAGGATATATGACCTGATTGTATTAGGACGGTGCAAAAGTAATTGATGGTTTTGCAATTAAAAGTAGTACCGGGCCGGGCGTGGTGGCTCACACCTGTAATCCCAGCACTTTGGGAGGCCGAGGCAGGCAGATCACCTGAGGTCAGGAGTTCGAGACCAGCCTGGCCAACATGGCAAAACCCCATCTCTACCAAAAATACAAAAAATTAGCCAGGCGTCCTGGCAGGTGTTTGTAATCCCAGCTACTCGGGAGGCTGAGACAGGAGAATTGCTTAAACCCGGGAGGTGGAGGCTGCAGTGAGCCAAGATCAGGCCACTGCACTCCAGCCTGGACGACAGAGCGAGACTCTGTTACCAAAAAAAAAAAAAAAAAGTAGCACAACAAAGTAGCACCAGCCACCTCAGTGTGTTTTGCATTTTATATCAGAAAAAAATATATATGTGTGTGTGTGTGTGTGTGTGTGTGTATGTGTGTGTGTGTTCTATCCAAGAAAATAGATGACTTAGAAGGGGACGTTCCTGTTTGAGAATAGACTCCCGTATAGAGTTCTCAAACTGCATTTGCAGATGAGTCAAGCCACAGGAAATCGGGTGTAGGGAAGAAAACATGGTCACGTGTCTTGTCTCCTGCAGGCTTTTTATTACCTCATTGATACCATGTGTGCTTTCAGGGGACTCTGAATTTGGGGGGAAGGGTGTCCTGGCTATCCTCAAAGCTGTCTTGGCTCAAGTCCCTGCCTGGCTTGTTTTGTCACTGAATGTCAGCTACCTGTTTATCTGTTACCTGTGTCCGAGACTGGCTAGGCCAAGGTTCCCTGGGGGTGACACAGCAGAAAGAGGGCAGACGTCACAACAGTGCTGTGTGCCCTACAGGATGGCCAGCAATACCCAAGGAAGCACAGGCGAAGGGGAGAGTGACAACTTCACATTCAGCTTCAAGATGTTCACCAGCTGGGACTACCTGATCGGGAATTCAGAGACAGCTGATAACAAATATGCATCCATCACCACCAGCTTCAAGGTAGTCACCCCAGGGCAGTTCCCACTTCCGGAGAACTCTAGGTCCCTCTGGTCATTGAGAGACTTCTCCCAGCTGGGACATAGAAAATAAGGTCCTCAAATAATTTGTGGCAAGAGCCTTCCCAGAAATGTGAGCCCAGTTTTCAAACCCTTAAGTAAGAATGTTCGTGGCTGGTGCCCACTGTCTGTTTCTTTTCTTTTCTTTTTGAGACAGCATCTCTCTCCCATTGCCCAGGCTGGAGTGCAGTGGTGTGCTCTCAGCACACTACAACCTCTGCCTCCTGGGCTCAAGCGATCCTCCTGCCTCAGCCTCCCGAGTAGCTGGGACTACAGGTGCCTGCCACTATGCCCAGCTAATTTTTTTTTTTTTTTGTATTTTTAGTAGAGATGGGGTTTTACCATGTTGGTCAGGCTGGTCTTGAACTGCTGACCTCAAGTGATCTGCCCTCCTGCACCTCCCAAAGTGCTGGGATTACAGACATGAGCCACCACGCCCAGCCTGTCTGTTTCTTAATATGACAGAGTATCCTGGATGCTGAGACCTGGTGCTGCCTGTTTCTACGTGAAACACATTTCTGCTGGAATAAGTGGAAGGACTCATTTGGGGAAAGCATTTCTCAACTTTTTCTGCATACTAGAATCACCTGAGGAGCTTAAAAGATCTCCTGGGATCCACTAACAGAGACTCTGATATAACTGGCCTGGAGTAGGGTCCTGACATTGGTTTTTCAAAAGCTCCCCAAGTGATTAGAATACTCAGAAAGAGCTGAGAACCCTGGTTTGGGGCTGTGGGAATAAAGAAATCAACACTGATGGCTGCGCCAAAATCTCAGAAATCACCACTGAAGAACTTATTCATGTAACCAAACACCACCTGTTCCCCAGAAAGCTAGTGAAATGAAAAAAAAAAAAAAGAATTTGAACTTGGTAGTTGGAAAATAACAAAGAGAGAGAAAGGGAGACAGAGTGAAAGCTTGGTGACAGAAGGCTAGCAATATGGTCTGTGCAGATCAGTCCCACAGGGGCTGAGGTGGGCAAACCTTTGCACGTGTGTAGGATTCTGACTGAGAGGGTTCCTTCACAGACCTTGCCTCTACTTTATTTATTTATTTATTTATTTATTTATTTATTTATTGAGACAGAGTGTCGCTCTGTCACCCAGGGTGGAGTGTAGTGGCAAAATCTCAGCTCACTGCAACCTCCGGCTCCTGGGTTCAAGTGATTCTCCTGCTTCAGCCTCTTGAGTAGCTGGGATTACAGGTGCACATCACCATGCCCGGCTAATTTTTTTGTATTTTTAGTAGAGACATGGTTTCACCAGGCCAGTCTCAAACTCCTGACCTCAAGTGATCTGCCCGCCTCGGCCTCCCAAAGTGCTGGGATTACAAGCATGAGCCACTGTGCCCAGCCCATGTCTCTACTTTAAAATCACCATTTATTTTCTAAACAAGAGTTTTTTTCATGTGAAGTGCTGCTGACAAAGTTTCCATCATTTTCCAGTGAGACTGGGTGTTGTTTATTTATGTGACTGGTATAAAAACAGGCATGGGGGGTTCTGAAAACAAAACAAAACAAATCAAAACACAGTTCCATGAGATAAAAAAAGAGACAGAAAGTTTCCTGTGTGTACATGTCCAAAAAAAAGGTACAACAAAGCAGAAAAACCCTTCTGAGGGTGCATAATAAACAAAGGACTATTTTAGGGTTCTAAGTTGCAGTTGGAGTGTATGTATAATTGAGTGGTTGGGTTTGCATATTTAAAAAATAAAAAGTATTTTTAGTAGAGATGGGGTTTCACCATTTTGGCCAGGCTGATCTTGAACTCCTGACCTCAAATGATCCACCTGCCAATCCCAGCTACTCGGGAGGCTGAGGCAGGAGAATCTCTTGAATCCAAAAGACAGAAGTTGCGGAGAGCCAAGATCGCACCACGGCATTCCAGCCTGAGTGACAGAGTGAGACTCTGGCTCAAAATGAATGAATGAATGGGATAATGTTAAAAAAAAAAAAAAAAAAAAGATGAAATCAACCCTATGTTTCTTTCAATCCACACACAAATAATTTCTTTACAAGAGAGGTTTGAGGAGGTCTACAGAACTATAGCTCATATAAAATAACCATCCAGCTGGGAAGCAAATGAATGAAGGCCAAAGCTGTAATGCTGAAGCATTGTACATTGTACTTTGCCCCCGTGATTGTAAAAACCATTCCAAGTTCTTCGTTTTTTTTTTCTTTAATTACATTTTTTTTTTTTTTTTTTTTTTTGGAGACAAGGTCTCACTCTGGCTGGAGTGCCATGCCCAGTTAAATTTTTCTATTTTTTGTAGAGATGAAGTCTCTCACTATGTTGCCCAGGCTGGTCTCAAATTCCTGGCCTCAAGCCATCCTCCCTCCCTGGCCTCCCAAAGCACTGGGATTACAGGTGTGAGCCACTGCACCCAGCTCCCATTCCAAGTTCTTTATGGCTCAATATTTCTCCTGTCTGATCAGTGAAGCTTTCTTTCCCCCAGGACCTAGCAAAGCTCACATTACACTACAACTGCGCTTCGTTCTCTTTTCTTTGCCCCTCCCCTCTCTTGAATTCCTTCCTGCTGTCCACTGACTGATGCCTGCAGATGGCAGGGACACCCACTAGGAAAAGGGCTTGAGCTCAGCAACTCACAGCATGGGTTTCCCAGCCCTAGAGCCCGGTGGGCTTTGCAGTGCATGGAGCAGGGAGCTGACTCTGTCTCCTCTCCTTCTCCTTCTTACAGCAATGGGGGGCTTATGGCCACTTCCATCCAAAGCCAGGGTAGGGGTGACTGGGGGCTTTGACTTTTCCTCCAGGATTGTGAGAGAGGGACAAAGAAGATCAATGTCTTTGAAACACTTTGAACATGTGAGAAGTAAAATGACTTCTTTTGTAAGTTTATTAAAAGAGACATAATATACTTGTATAACAGAATAGATGTGAAAATTCTGTGAATTAAGACTTTGGGGTCTGGGAGAGCTCATTTTTCATCCTGGTTCTACCAATTACTCTGTGTCTAGGGCACAAGTTTAATAATCAAAAATCAATTTTTATATACTAACAGAAAACAATTCGAAAATAAGTTTAAGGCCAGGCACAGTGGCTCATGCCTGTAATCCCAGCACTTTGGGAGGCTGAGACAGGTGGATCACCTGAGGTCAGGAGTTTGAGATCAGCCTGGACAACATGGGGAAACCCTGCCTCTACTAAAGATACAAAAATTAGCCGGGTGTGGCTGGGTGTGGTGGCTCACGCCTGTAATCCCAGAACTTTGGGACGCTGAGGCGGGCAGATCACGAGGTCAAGAGATCGAGACCATCCTGGCTAATACAGTGAAACCCTGTCTCTACTAAAAATACAAAAAAAATTAGCCGGGCATGGTGGCGGGTGCCTGTAGTTCCAGCTACTTGGGAGGCTGAGGCAGGAGAATGGCGTGAACCTGGGAGGCGGAGCTTGCAGTGAGCCGAGATTGTGCCACTGCACTCCAGGCTGGGTGACAGAGCAAGACTCGGTCTCAAAAAAAAAAAAATTTAGCCGGGTGTGGTGGTGGGCACCTGTAATCCCAGCTACTCAGGAGGCTGAGGCAGGAGAATCACTTGAACTTAGGAGGCGGAGGTTGCAGTGAGCCGAGATCATGCCACTGCACTCCAGCCTAGGCGACGCAGCAAGACTGTCTCAGAAAAAAAAAAAAAAAAAAAGAAAAAAAAGTTTAAGTTCTATTAATAGTATCCAAAAAAAACCCATAAAATTCCTAGACATAAATTTAACCAAAATAATGTACAAGACCATTACACCAAAAGTATAAAATATTGCCGAAAGAAATTAAGAAACCCTAATGGAGAGATATGCTATGCTGATGGATTAGAACAGAGGTTGGCAAACTATGGCCCACAGGCCAAATCCAGCCTGCTGCCTACTTTTACAAATAATGTTTTATCGAAACAAAGGCATTCCAATTTATTTACATCTTGTCTATGGTTGCTTTCATGCCACAATGGCATAGCTGAGTGGTTGTGAGAGAGACCATATGACCAGCAAACCAAAAATACTATCTAGCTTTTTATAGAATGAGTTTGCCAACCCTCGATTAGAAGACTCAATATTTTAAGATTCAGTTGGAATCTATTTGACCTATAGACTTAACATGATCCCAATCAGTTACTGAAATCTCTCTGGGCCTTGGGGTCTGTAATGTGGGTAATAACAGTAACTATTCTACTGGTGTGTTGCTGGGATTAAGAGGGACAATGCAGCCAGGCACAGTGGCTCATGCCTGTAATCCCAGCAGTTTGGGAGGCTGAGGCAGGCAGATCACCTAAGGTCAGGAGATCGAGACCAGCCTGACCAACATGGAGAAACCCCATCTCTACTAAAGATATAAAATTAGCCAGGCGTGGTGGTGCATGCCTGTAATCCCAGCTACTCGGGAGGCTGAGGCAGGAGAATCACTTGAACCCAGGAGGTGGTGAGCCGAGATTGCACCATTGCACCCCAGCCTGAGCAACAAGAGCAAAACTCTGTCTCAAAAAAGAAAAAAAGAGGGACAATGCACGGAAAGTACCACGTCTGACACATGGTGACTATTTAAGAAATCTAAGTGTTTCTTACATGTACTGGAATAGCAATAACAACAAACATATTTTTCTAAAGAAAATAATTATCCATAGGGCACAGGGCATTACATCATCTCCTCTGTATTATTTCATTTCTGGAAATATAGAAAGTACTATTTTCAGGGACCCAACAGCCATGGTTCTGGCATTTCTGGCCTGACATTTATGCACATCTCATTTTCACACATTAAGGAATCAATAGTGGATGAACAAGAGAGTAACAAAGAAGAAAATATCCATCTGACAAGATTTCTTCGTGTCCTGGCCAACTTTCTCATCATCTGCTGTTTGTGTGGAAGTGGGTACCTCATTTACTTTGTGGTTAAGCGATCTCAGCAATTCTCCAAAATGCAGAATGTCAGCTGGTATGAAAGGAATGAGGTAAGAAAAACATCGCTGATGAACTGAAGGTTGATGGCAAATACTGAAATCACTGGTTCCTATGCCATTCATTTCATTTATCGAAAGTCTGGATTATAGGCTTGTTTTAATAAGTGAAATTACATCCCCTTCCAGTCAAATAGCATGAATATCCTGAAGAAAAAGTCACCTATTATTAGGTTTTGGGAACTGGCTTTTACAACTAGAAAAACTGGATTAGCAACTGGATAGCCACCTGTGCAACACCAATTACTAACGAGGCGATCCTTTCCTCACAGCTTTGCAGCGCCATACATCGTAAATCAAGTGTCTATTAATGCATGGGTATGATTCTGGGCTCTCTTTTCTATTCCTGTTTGTCTATTCCTGCACAAATAACAAACTGATATACTATGCATTTACACTATGTCTTAATATCTGATAGAGCGAGTTTTCTCATCAAGCTCCACAATAAAACACATTAAGGTTTTATTGTGATAACACAGAATCCATAAACCTCTTTCGGGAATTTGACATCTGTGGTCGTTTGTGAAAATGGCTACAAATTCTTCCTATCCTTGTATGCACATCCCTTTGCTTTCCTTTGCACATTCACGAAGAGGTGGAATCTGTGTCCTCCATCTTTTGAATCCACCTTAGCTTGGTCATGTGACTTGGTTTAGCCAATGGAACAATAGCAACCATGAAACATGCAGAGATTTGAATAGTGCTTGTGTATTGAGACTTGCTCTTTTACTGCTTTTGGGAACCCTGAGACCTTCGTCATGTGAATAATCTCTGGCTAGCCTCCTGAATGATGAGACACATGGTCCAGTTATCTCCCCACCCTGGCCAATAGCCAGTAAACCACCAGATATTTGAATGGAGCCATCAGCTATCAGCAGGTAAGGCCAACAAAAGAACGACCCAGTTAAGCCCAGTTTAAAAAAAAAAAAAATGCTGCCCCACAGAATCATGAGCTAAATAAATTAATAATAAGAAAGAGTTTATCTTGCATTCAAACAGCAATTTAAAAAAAGAAGACAGCCTATCTTCCCCCAACAAAGCAAGAAAGGATATAAAAAAGGAAATATGGCATTGATAGGAGGACAAATATAAAGCACAAAATCAGATTTAAGTCTAAATATATCAGTGATTCTAATAGATGTAAATGGATTTGATGCTACAGTTTGAGGACAATAATAATTAGATCAAAAACTGTTAAAGCTATGTGCTATTTATAATTAACCCATCTAAAACATCAGGACACAGAAAGGTTTAAAATAAAAGAATGGGCCAGTGGTTTCTGCTAGTGGTGGCCTAGGTTATTTGGATCAAGTAATTAATTAAAAGCCCTAAAAATGCTCATTTAAAGAAAAAGCATACCTTGAAAACACTGAGGATTTGAAAACACAGTGAGAGACCCCCAAGACCAATTTTAAGTGAAAGCCTGTGACCAGAAATATAAGGGGAGTATCAGTGCCAAGTCTTATGCTCTGAAGGCAAATGCTGACTTTTCAAACACTTGTTCCTGTGCTCTAGTTCCATCCCACTAGGGCCAGTGTCTTAGCCTATGTTGTGTTAATTAGGTTCCTGCAGCCTTGATGTGCTGACTCTGTCCTAAGTTGGGAAGTTTCACAATAGCCAACTAGCAGTTCTTGAATTCCTGATTTATTTCCAGGCCTTCATACCCCATCAGTCACTCCACTAATGTTCAACACACAGGCAGTAATAAGAGGGAGGTAACAAACCACAACGATGGCTCCGGAGACCAACACATCAACAGATGAGCCAAGTGGGTCCAGAAGTCATTCAGGCACTGGCCAGCAGAAGTGGGCATCGCTGTTTCTCTCTTGCAGAGCTTCCAGCAGCCACTGCCAAAATCGGGAGAAGGTTCCAGAGTTCCCATGGGCAGAGCCTCCGAAGGCTTTTTGAACAAGGCCAGGTCCTGGCTGCTTTTATGATCCTCCCAGATGGGTCTGTTCTCTTTATCTCAGCCAACGTTTCATTCTCTACCAGTTAATTTCAGGAAATACCAGGCAGCAGCAGGTGTTTGCTTATCACCTCAGTCCATTATATACATGCTTATCACTTTGAGAGAGGGCGGAACAATTTCACTATGGGCTTAATGCTTTTTGACATGAGTGACTCTATTTTGAGACATTAGGATCACAAATTATGATATATGAGTTTGCTAGGGCTGTGATATTATTATATATTTCTTATTATATATTGGTCTGCTCCCAGTTTCTGGCACACAGCCCCTAAAACCCTTGGAATCTCTAAAGTGATCAGTGTTTTTTTTTGTATGCTAGTAAGATGACTGGTTGCTGGAAGCTCCTGGATAACCTCTGCATCTGGGCTGGCTGCCAGGGGAACCAGCCAGTGATTAGAAAATTGGAACTTTCAGCCGTATCCCGTCACCTCCAGGGAGGGGAGAGGGGCTGAGGTTGAGTTGATCACTAATGGCCAGTGATTTAATCAATCATGACTACATAATGACGCCTCCATAAAAACCCAAAGGGCAGAGTTTGAAGAGTGGGCCTGGAAGCTCCAAGCCCCTTGCCCATACCTTACCCTATGCATCTCTTCCACCTGGCCATTCCTGAGTTATATCCTTTGAAATAAACAGATAATCTAGTAATTAAATTGTTTTCCTGAATGATTTGCTTACTCTAGCAAATGACCAAACCCAAGAAGGGGATTGTGAGAATCTCTGCTTTATAGCCAAATCGAACAGAAGTTGCCAGTAACCTGGTGACCTAATACTTGTGATTGGCATCCAAAGTGGGGGCAGGCTTGTGGGACTGAGCCCTTCACCTGTGGAGTCTGTGCTCACTCTGATTAGTGTCTTAATTGAATTGAATTGAATTTTACGCTACGCAGCTGGTATCAGAAAATTGGTTGGTATGGGAAAAAATTTGGTGTCAGAAGTGTCAAATGTGTCTGACACATTTGGTGTCAGAAGTGTCCTGGAAGTAAAGTGTTGATAGTATAGAAGGAAAAACATATAGGCTGCCACAACAAAGTACCACAGACTGAGTAGCTTAAACAACAGAAATGTATTTGCTCACCGTTCTGGAGGCTGGAAGTCCGAGATCAAGGAGTTGGCAGGTTTGCTTTCCCCTGAGGCTTGCAGGTGTCTGTCTTCTCCCTGTGTCCTTCTGTGACCTTTCTTCTGTGCATGTGCATGGAGAGAGAGAGAGAGAGATCTCTGGTATCTTTTCCTCTTCTTATAAGAACACCAGTCTTATTGGATTAGGTCCCACCCTTGTGACCTCACTTAACCTTAATTACCTCCTTAAAGGCCCCATCTCCAAATAGTCACATTGAGAGTTAGGACTTCAAGATACAAATTTGTGGGAGGAGGAGGAGACACGATTCAATCCATAAAGTCCAAAGAGACAAAGTTTCCAAACCAGGACTTTTCCATATTAGGAGGAGGGGAAAATCTCCCTAAATAGACCTCACCACCCCTCTCCCAGGAGTTAAGGCATTCAAGGTATGGGTGAACCTGATCTAACCCTCCTCCCACCTCCAGTAACTACTAAGAGGGCAGCTTGCTGTTTAGGCTGGAAGTGGAAAAGAGAAGGAAAAGGTGCTGTCCGCAGAGCCTGTGGCCTCAGACCTTCCACTGAGCAGACTTGTACCTGGGGCTGTCAGACCTTGACTTTGGTTTGAAGCATTGTAGATGGTAGTGTACCAGGTACCTGGCAGAACCAAGCTTAGAGCCTCTCTAATTCAGCATGTACATATCTAGGCCTCAGAGAACTCCATAAATAATTATTAAAGTCAATGACCAGAAAGAAGTCAAAGGTTACCTGGTATACAAGAAAACAAGGCAAAATGATAGACTTGCTCTTTTTACCTATATGCCAAGATTTATTTTCCTTTTTCTTTAAAGTCCATTAACTTTACTTAAGAATACATCCTGGTATTGGTCATTCTTGATATTCTCAGGTACACAGTGTATTTATTTATTTATTTATTTACTTTTGAGATGAAGTCTCGCTCTGTCACCCAGGCTGGAGTGCAGTGGCACGATCTTGGCTCACTGCAACCTCCACCTCCTGGGTTCAAACAATTCTCCTGCCTCAGCCTCCTGAGTAACTGGGATTACAGGCACGCATCACCATGCCTGGCTAATTTTTGTATTTTTAGTAGAGACAGGGTTTCACCCTGTTGGCCAGGCTGGTCTCAAACTCCTGACCTCAAGTGATCTGCCTGCCTCAGCCTCCCAAAGTGCTGGGATTACAAGTGTGAGCCACCATACCAGACCCAAAAGTTTTTAAAAATGTTAGGCAGATTCAAATCTTGTTTTTCATTTAAGGGAAGATTTATTGAATTATAGGTTTTTTTAATTTGTTCTATTCCCTTTTTTGGGTTTTCTTCTTTAGGACCTCCTATTATACCCGTGTTGAATCTTCTTTGTCTCTCTTCAATATATCTTGTTTTCTCCTGAATCCTATTAACTTCTTTCTTCATATATTTTTTATTTTTAAAACTTTCCCCCTTTTTATCTTTTTCTTGTCATTGTCATTATGTTTTGCAATTGTGATTCTCTTAGGTATTCTTCAATTTTAATATAGTTTTCCCTTAATTTCTTTTTTCTTTTTTTTTTTTTTTTTTTGCAGTATTCTGTCACCCTTTTTCTGGGTTTTTCTAATTTTTATTTATATTGTTTTGTGACCTATATTTTCTTAACATCTTTCAGTTTTCTGTTTTTGAATACTCATTATAATTTTTTAACTGTTTTATACAACTTACTTTTTGGTGCGTTTTCATTATCTGAAAGTTTAACCTACTTCTTGTTCTCTTTTCCTTGAAATAACTTTGTATGGGATTTGACCTAGAAAAAACTTTTCCACTGTTCATTTTTATATAAAGTTAGTTTTGCTGAAGTTTTAGTGAGGCATGGTTCAGGATGACTTTCCTAAGTTAACGGAGCTCTCTCTTCCACTGTTTTTATGAAGTCTTCAAAATATATGGTGGCTTGCTGGATGAGAGAGCTCCTGCCTCTCATCCCTTTTCTACTTTTTATCTAGACCTTCCCATTCCTTTATCTATATTCCCTCTCTCTGCTCAATTTCAATTCTGTTCTCAGAATAGTCTCCTTCATGTTGTGCCCTGTCCTGTTAGGGAGCTTAACTGACAAATTTCAAAAGTTCAAGAGGCCCAGGCTGTTTTAGCTCATCTCCAGATTAACCAAGAATGACCTTGCACTCACCTATTATTGGACCGAGCAGAGTTCCTCACAGTGTCAGCTGCTGTTCTCAGATTGTTCCACTATGCTTTTCATTGAGTACCTATTAGCCATTTTGACATCCTCCTGTTCTCAGATTCATTGGATACCCCACTGTTTCTCTTGACCTTCTCTCATCCAGACATGAACTCTGTAAGTACTTGTGGCTGTTGGTAATTTGTATTGTATTGTAGCCACTTGTATTTAAGGATTCATTAGGACACCTAGCTTCATTGTCTATGTGTTTTTTTATTTTATTATTTAATTGCTTTATCCAGTTTTACATGGGGATTCGGGAGATTCAAAAATCATGCTGTGATGGCCAGGTGCAGTGGCTCACGCCTGTAATCCCAGCACTTTGGGAGGCCAAGGCGGGTGGATCACCTGAAGTCAGGAGTTCGAGACCAGCCTGGCCAACATGGTGAAACCTCGTCTCTACTAAATACAAAAAATTAGCTGGGCATGGTGGCGCATGCCTGTAGTCCCAGCTACTTGGGAGGCTGAGGCAGGAGAATTGCTTGAATCCCAGAGGCGGAGGTTGCAGTGAGCCAAGACTGCGCCATTGCACTCCAGCCTGGGTAACAAGAGCAAAACTGTCTTAAAAAAAAAAAAAAGAAAAAAAGAAATTCATGCTGTGGCTATCATTATCTTCCCAGAACTCCAAGTTATTATTTTTAGTATGAAGATGCATTCACCATGAAAACCATCATTTTCTCTCAGGATAAAGTCCTAAATGGCTTTCCCTGACTTACCTTCCCAGTTGTACCCTTATTTTTATTTATTATTATTATTATTATTATTATTATTATTATTATTATTATTTGAGATGAAGTCTTGCTCTGTCATCCAGGCTGGAGTGCAGTGGCACGATTTCAGTTCACTGCAACCTCCGCCTCCCAGGTTCAAGTGATTCTCTTGCCTCAGTCTCCCAAGTAGCTGGGACTACAGGCACGCACCACCACACCTGGCTAATTTTTGTATTTTTAGTAGAGACGAGGTTTTGCCATGTTGGCCAGGCTAGTCTCAAACTCCTGAACCCAGGTGATCCACCTGCCTCAGCCTCCCAAAGTGCTGGGATTACAGGCATGACCCACTGCACCTAGCCCCCAATTGTACCTTTAGTCACTCTTACTCTTCCCATCTTCACTAAACTGCAGCACCATTGGCCTCTGTTCTACTGAGATGCCTTCTCTCACACACTCTCATCTCTCTTGAATAATTTCAGGTATGAGTTTAAATGTTATATCCTTATTTCTATTATATACTTAAAGTATTTACCCTTTGCAGCATTTTTACCTTTGTAATGATTAACTTATTATGGAATTATTTACATCTACTTTAAGTTCTTGTGGGCAGAGTGTGTGTGACTTTTTATCCTTTGTTGCATCTTTAGAATTTGGCACAGTGACTCACACATAGTAAGTGCTTAATAAATTAGAGATGGAGGAAAGACAAAGGAGAAAACTATTAACTGAATACCTACAATAGACCTCTATGCCTATTATTTATGCCTCATAGCACTATGGCAGGGTAGGCATCCTTAGTCCTAGTTTTCACATAAATATCTGAGGACCGGAAAGTTTAAGACACACAGCTTATTAGCAATGGAGTCAGGATTAGGACCCAGTACCTGTCTGGCTCTGAGTCTGTTTTGGGGGCCTCATTCCTGATTGCCTAAGCTTACCTCTAACCCACTCTGGATCAGTGCAGTTGGACATCAACTCAGACACTCCCAGCAGTGGATTAGAGGCCCCAGTGTAGCTCCTGACCTGGTCAGAATGGGTTTAAGATATGGGAAAGACAGGGACTTTGGGGGCCTCTCTGTAGGATGGGAGAACTGAGGAATAGAGTAAGAAAGGAAAAACGTCCCTTCCACAAAGCCTTCACTGGGTCACTAAGCTGTGAGAAGGACTCAAAAGATGCCCAAGATGAATTCTACCCTTAAGGGGATTGCAGTTTCCTTAGGATGCAGGCTCAACAAGAATAAACCAAAGCACAAACAATAGTAGGCAGGAATACCGTGATCAAATAAGATGTTTTAGGTTACAGATGGAATTGTCCATGAGAGCTGAAGAGGCAGTGGAATTTTGTGGCAAAGGCAGGAATTAGGCTGAACACTACACAAACATATAATGAAGGGCAGTGGTAGATATGGGGCAGTGATGGCTCTCCAGGTGAGAACTACATGGACAGGTACGGAGATGATGAGAAACCAAGCCAAGGGTCAGTGTGAGAGAGAGTGGGATAGTCAAGACCAGCCGAGAAGAGTTGACCAACTTGCAATTTGCAGGGATTTACTTTCCACTGGGTGAGCAGTTGTTTTTTGTTTGTTTTTGTTTTTTTGAGATGGAGTCTTGCTCTGTCACCCAGGCTGGAGTGCAGTGGTGCAATCTCGCCTCACTGTAACCTCCGCCTCCAGGGTTCAAGCAATTCTCCTGCCTCAGCCTCCCAAGTAGCTGGGATTACAGGTACATGCCACCACACCCAGCTAATTTTTTGTATTTTTAGTAGAGACGGGGTTTCACCATGTTAGCCAGGATCTCCTGGCTATCTCCTGACCTCATGATCTGCCTGCCTCGGCTTCCCAAAGTGCTGGGATTACAGGCGTGAGCCATTGCGCCTGGCCAGAAAGTGCTATTTTCATCAATACTAGTAACAACAACCATTATAGCATCTGGTCACACAGCAATTATGATATGCAAGCACAGGCCAAGTGCTCAGGGCATGTTGATGCCTTTGCCAGGGTCACACAGCAAGCTGTGTAGACCCCAGGGCATCTCCAGGCGCAGCAGAGGGGGCAGCAGAGAAGTGGAGATGGATGGCCATGGGAGTGCAGAGATGGCAGCCAAACAAGTATAATGTTGATGACACAACGTAGGCTTTCCTGATTCCTCAGGTAGAGATCGTGATGTCCCTGCTTGGAATGTTTTGTCCCCCTCTGTTTGAAACCATCGCTGCCCTGGAGAATTACCACCCACGCACTGGACTGAAGTGGCAGCTGGGACGCATCTTTGCACTCTTCCTGGGGAACCTCTACACATTTCTCTTGGCCCTGATGGATGACGTCCACCTCAAGGTAAAAACCACAACACCCCCCACCCCACTGCAATTCCTGGTGCCCATAGTATTTTCTTTTTTAATATAATAATTTCATTATATATAATTCATATTAATTAAATAAATGTAAATTAAGAAAAATAAAATTAAAAAAAAACTCCTTGGACTCTATGACCCAAAGATGACCATTGTTAACCTTTTCCTATAGTTTTTTACTGTCCTTTTCTCTGGTTGTCTTTTTTCACATCATATACATGTCATTTGATACCTTAATATTTTATCTTCAGCCTTTTCCACACTGTTTCAGAGCTGCCATAAATGATTAACAGCCAAGTAATTGTCCTCTAAGGGGCTATGTCATTACTTAACCGTTTATCAATGCTCACCACACAATTATGGAGCACCCACAATGGCAGGCCCTGGGGTAGAGCAGACAGGAAGACACAGTCCTGTCCCAAGTGTGTTCACACACTGGGCTGGGAGACAGACTTCATTACAGCACGCTGTGGGATGTGCTTCAGTAGTGGCAAGCCCAGGGCAGCATGGCAGTGCACAGGAGGAGCTCCAGATCCCTCCCTGGGGACCTTAGCAGACATTGGAAAAGGCAGAGGGAACAGCTGGGTCAACAGGGAACTGGAGTGGAGCAGAAGAGTGAAAAATTTAGAGCAAAGGAGGGCCCGATGATGCTGATGCCCCTCTTCTCCACCCCTTCCCTCCTTATTATTGAGCTGTAGGAACTTTTTCCTGATGCTAACAGAAAACTGTTCTAAGCATGGAAGTGACTGAATCTGGCCCTAACCTCTCCTCCCCACTCATCTCTGGCTTCCCTCCTACCCAGGAGACTGCTCTACCCTCCTGAGCCTCACATTTCTGCCACAGGGCAAAATTCTATCTTGCCTCTCTCTCCACCCCTCTCCTCATGTTTGACTAGTTGACTAATCCTTCTTGAGGTTTTGGCCCAGCTGTCACTGCCTCCCGGAAGTCTTCTGTGGCCCCCATTGTGTGATGTGGATGCTCCTTTTCCCAGAGAGAATTTCTCACAGCTCGTATCAGTCTGTTCTGTAATTGCCAGTTCATCTCCATCATTTACTAGACTCTAATCTTTCTGAGCGAACCTCCATCTCTCTTGGTCACTCTTGTATCACCACTACTTTATATGCACAGAAGAAGCCCTGAATAAATTATTTTCAAGAGAATAATGAATGACTGGATAGATGCATGAATGGATGGCTGAATGCTTAGATGGATGAATGGATGGATGGATGGATGGATGGATGGATGGATGGATGGGTGGGTGGGTGGGTGGGTGGATGGATGGATGGATGGATGGATGGATGGATGGATGGATGAATAGACAAGTGGATGGATGGACAGACGGACAGATGAATGCTGACTTAGAGTAGAAGATAACTTCATGGGAAAGACCCAAGAACTACAGCCTCTCCTGTACATATTGAAAGCCTGAGAAGGGAATTTTGGAAGGACTCTGTCCAGGGGAGAGCAGAAGCTAGATGGTAGGGTTGTGGCATTTGCTGGCTTTCACTGTTCTTATGGAAACAGTTGGACCATCCCTAGCTCCTTCCTACCCCACACCTCCATCTTCTGTTCTAGCTTGCTAATGAAGAGACAATAAAGAACATCACTCACTGGACTCTGTTTAACTATTACAACTCTTCTGGTTGGAACGAGAGTGTCCCCCGACCACCCCTGCACCCTGCAGATGTGCCCCGGGGTTCTTGCTGGGAGACAGCTGTGGGCATTGTGAGTAGTTACACTCTCTAAAAAGGTGACCCCTGTTCTCAGTTCTTTGTTATTCCCTCCTTGATGTTTCCATTTGAGGAATAACCCTGAAAACTTACCAGCTGTTCATCCAGCAAACATTTCATAATCATCTAGGAGGAAATAAAATGACCAAAGCAGATCCTGTGACCCCTGGGAACTCCAAATCTCTTTGGTGTCTCAAAGGTTGTGATTGGTGTCTGGTAGATATTTTCAATTTTTCCAAAAACATAGTAAATTATGTCTATTCTACAAATGCAGAGAAAGCTTTGTCCTTCAGTTTTTGGTCCTTCTTCTATGTGCCTCTGTGCAAAACCTGTTTTATTTTCTCTATATATCAAAAAAAAGAAAAAGAAAAAGAAAAATCTGACTAGCAGAAGATGAAAAAAGCTAGGCATTGTCTCCAGTGACTGACGGTCACATTTGGTCTTAGTGGGGGCAGCTGGCACTTCAGAATAAGTGGGGAAGCAAGGCCTTCGGGTCCTAGTGATGATGACTACGATGCATTGGGCATAGTCAATTTAACAGGCAATTTGCATTTGCATACATAATTACTAAGTTTCACAATAGCCTTTTGAGATTGATATCAATATCAACTTCAAGAGGTTCAGAGATTATTCCAAAGCCATACAATTGGTAATGTGGAGCTGGGACCTAAATTAAGCATTTTCCAGAGCCAGGAGTCGCCTCTCTTCACACACAAAGGATCAGAGGGTCACAGAGACAAAGTCAGGTGGGTGGGGGAGAGTTTATTAGACTCTCAACAAACTCTCAGGGAGGGTGGGAGAAGTGGGCAAGGTCTCCAACCACCCCCTCTTCCTGTGTTCCTCTGCAGGAATTCATGAGGCTGACGGTGTCTGACATGCTGGTAACGTACATCACCATCCTGCTGGGGGACTTCCTACGGGCTTGTTTTGTGCGGTTCATGAACTACTGCTGGTGCTGGGACTTGGAGGCTGGATTTGTAGGTCACCACTTCATGGACATTCCGCACAAAGGAATTTCAACTATCTTCTTTGATACTTATAGCCAGATGCATTCTTGGGCATTTCATTTCTTTGGAAGCTTAATGACGGTCTCTGCTCTGTAGAGTAGTAAAGTGTTTAATTTGTATTTCCTTTAAGGGTCCTATTTGCCTTCATAAGGGAAACTGCTTTTTCCCAGTGTAATGAACAATGTGACCTTCTATTCTAGGAAATGGAGGCATTTGGCCTAGGGGAAAGTGGACCACACACTCCAGTACTGAGCCAATGGTTGATAGGGAATTGCATCTGAGCAGCCTCAACTCTCATTATGGGGGCTGAAATCTGACAGTGGAGGCGAATATTTCAGGAAGTCCTGGAACACACCAAGAACACAATAACCATTGGTCCTGTCTTCTGGATGATGCTTTGAGAAACCTCCTTTGACTTGTATTCCCTTATAGCCCTCTTCCCCACCTACCTGGTAAATGTGTGTCATTTCCTCTCTGTAGTGTCCTTCTATGCTCTGGCAGAATCTCTGGCTCAGGCACCTGTGCTGTACATGTCTCTTCCACAACACCTCACTGGCCCAGCCTGCAGTCACTGGTGTGCATGTAAGGTACCTACCTCTTACCTGAGCTCCTGGTGAAAGGCTCCGTAGGATGTTGACCTATGTATCCCTCATCCTGGCCTGGCCCAGGTAAGGGCCCCAGTACAGGTTTCTGTCACATTTTTTTTCGTTCAGTCACCAGTCTCAGTTTTAAACAAGTCTGCTGAGCTCCTCGGCAGCCAGGAAAGCTTCATAATCTTGTCTGAGAACGAAGATGAAAGAACTTTGTGCTCAAAGAGGATGACATCTTTGATAGAAAGACACAATATTACTAAGAGGTCATTGTTCTTAAATTTGTTTGTAAGATCACCACGATTTCCAAATAATACTAAAGTTCATTTGAAAAATAAGCATGTGAGAATATCCAGAAAAAATATTTAAAAAGAAGAATAAGGCCAGGTATGGTGGCTCACACCTGTAATCCTAGCACTTTGGGAGGCCAAATTAGGAGAATTGCTTGAGTCCAGGAGTTCAAGATCAGCCTGGGCAATTTAGCAAGACCCCATCTCTACAAAAAATAAAAAATTAGCTGGGTGTGCTGGTGCATGCCTGTAATCCCAGCTACTCAGGAGGCTAAGGCAGGAGGATCCCTTGATCCCTTGATCACACCACTGCATTCCTGCCTAGGCGACATAGTGAGGCCCTGTCTCAAAAAGTATATAAAGAAAAAATAAAAAGATGAATAAAAGGAACTAGACTTACCATAATACTAAAACATATGATAAAGCTATAATAACTAAAACTGGTACTAGAAAATAGACCAACATGTCAATGGAACAGAATAGAAAGTCCAGAAATAGATACTATCTACATGGGCCTTTAGTTTATGATAAAGGGAGACTTTCAAACACACTGGGGGGAAAGGATTATATTAAAATATATATAAATTATATAAAAATGTGGGGGATTATATCCCTCATTCATTTCATCTAGATTAATTTTAGGCACATCAAAGTCTTAAACATCAAAAAAATGAAAATATAAATTTCTAAAAGAAAGCATGTACAAACTTAGAATCTTGGAGTGAGGAAGATTTGTCTAAGTAGGACATGAAACCCAGTAGATATGTGTTTTTTTTAACATTTTAAAATATTAAAATTTAAATTCTGGGTGGGGGTGCGGTGGCTCACATTGTAGTCCCAGCACTTTGGGAGGCTGAGGTGGGTGGATCACTTGAGGTCAGGAATTCAAGACCATCCTGGCCAGCATGGTGAAACTCCATCTCTACTAAAAATACAAGAATTAGCTGGGCATGGTGCTGCACACCTGTAATCCCAGCTACTTGGGAGGCTGAGGCAGGAGAATCACTTGAACCAGGAGGCAGAGGTTGCAGTGAGCTGAGATTGTGCCACTGCACTCCAGCCTGGGCAACAGAGCGAGACTCCGTCTCAATAAATAAACATCCAAGACTTCACCCCGTGGACTTAATGTATGCATGTTTCCTTCTTCCATCCATGCATGCTGGCCCTTCCTTTGTCTCTTTCCTAACTTCTCATCTCTCCTTCTTGTGTTCTCATTTCCCTTTATCTCCATTTCTGGAAGACAAATTGGGATGTGGGCTTTAGCATGCTTCATGAGGACCCTCATATCCTCAGTGCTCACAGATTTTATGTTCTTTCAAATATTCGGACAAATCACGAAAACTGCAAATGAGGTAGGCTGAAAATATGAACCAAGCTGGGTGCTTTCCTTTCCGTGAACTGCTCTCAGACTGGAGGAAGAAGAGAAGGAGAAAGAAGAGTTGGAAGGATGATTTGGTTTTTGTTTGTTTTTAAGCTTTCTTTTCTTTTGACTCCTCATTTAATTATTTGCATTTCATTATTTATTAGATTTCTCCTTGATTATAATTTCAGGGTATGTTTCTGATTAAAACGTTGATAAAATGTTCTGTTAGAGGCGAGGGTCTTCCCAAGAACACGCTGTCAGCCTGCAAGGCCTGAAAGATAGAAACTGTCATTTTTTTGTTTACTGAAATAGGCATTTTTAAAGTTTCAGCTTTGAGAATGTCAAATTTTTTGTTTAAAAGTTGAAAACATATTAAAGAAATAGAATGCTAAATCTAAGGTTCTTCTCTAGTTACCAGAGCAGGCTCTTTGGGATGGAATGGCCTTGGCTTGGCCAGTTGGTTGGTAGTAGGGTTTGGCTGAATTCACCAAACGTGCTTTTTTTTTTCTCTCTCTCTCTCGCTCCCTCCCTCCCTCTCTAGCCTTCATATGCTGAGTTTGATATTAGTGGAAATGTGCTGGGTTTGATCTTCAACCAAGGAATGATCTGGTGAGTTATCCATTTCATCTGGTGATCGCCTCATCCAAGGAGTCAAAAAACTGGAATCCCAGACTTTGCAACTTAACTAGTTGGAAGAGGCTAGATAAGTCCTCTTGCCTCTCTGAACTCCCCTCTTTCACATGAAAAATCAAGAGCGGGACTAGATGAGAAGCAGGACAGTTTCTGGCCCACCCATGTGCTACCATAGAAGTAGAGAGAAAGGGAGAGGGGTTGGTGGAGGAGAAAAGGAAAAGGAAGGAAGGCAGGAGAGAAGGAGAAGAGGGAAGAAAAAGGGAAGAAGGAAGAAAGACAAAGGAAAGGGAAAAGGAAGGAGTAAAGAAGAGGAGGAAAAGAGGAGGAAAGGAAAATAAAGAAGGAGGGAGGGAGAAAAGAAGGAAGAGAAGGTGGAAGGTAAATGAACTATGGAACTCCCTCTTCTGAAAAGGGAGTTCAAGGAGGTACATAACTTCAGCCAAAGACTTTCAAGGTGCCAAGGGCTCGCTGCAAGCCACTGTCCAATTCTCTCAATTGAAGGACTTCAAATACTCTTCTGAGCAGCAATGCTGTTTTATGGAAACCGAGGAGAAACAGGCAGGAGACCGTATAATTTGCTAGATGCCTGGGGGCGAGTCAGTGGTAAAATCTTGGCCAGAGCTTAAGCCAGGAATGCTCGGAGTGCCTCCCTCTCCTGAGGACTGCATGGTTCTGGCTTGATGATCGATATTCTGGTTAAATGGGAGGCCCCTTACCTGGGGACTTGCCAGGAAAGCAGCTCGGCCTCATGCCCCTAACCCATCCGTCCCATTTCCTTCTATCACCCTTCCCTCGCCTTCCCTGCTGTCCAGCCAACCAGGTGTTTGGTTTCTGCCATTCCAGGATGGGCTCCTTCTATGCTCCAGGCCTGGTGGGCATTAATGTGCTGCGCCTGCTGACCTCCATGTACTTCCAGTGCTGGGCGGTGATGAGCAGCAACGTACCCCATGAACGCGTGTTCAAAGCCTCCCGATCCAACAACTTCTACATGGGCCTCCTGCTGCTGGTGCTCTTCCTCAGCCTCCTGCCGGTGGCCTACACCATCATGTCCCTCCCACCCTCCTTTGACTGCGGGCCGTTCAGGTGCAGAGTCTCAGTTGCCCGGGAGCACCTCCCCTCCCGAGGCAGTCTGCTCAGAGGGCCTCGGCCCAGAATTCCAGTTCTGGTTTCATGCCAGCCTGTAAAAGGCCATGGAACTTTGGGTGAATCACCGATGCCATTTAAGAGGGTTTTCTGCCAGGATGGAAATGTTAGGTCGTTCTGTGTCTGCGCTGTTCATTTCAGTAGCCACCAGCCACCTGTGGCCGTTGAGTGCTTGAAATGAGGAACTGAGAAAATTAATTTCTCATGTATTTTTCTCATTTATTTATTAATTTTTAACTGATAGTTGTACATATTTGGGGGTACATGTGATATTTGGATACATGTATACAATATATAATGATCAAATCAGGGTAACTGGGATATCCATCACATCAAACATTTATTTTTTATTCTTTTTAGACAGAGTCTCACTCTGTCACCCAGGCTGGAGTGCAGTGGTGCCATCTCAGCTTACTGCAACCTCTGCCTGCCAGGTTCAAGCGATTCTCATGCCTCCACCTCCCAAGTAGCTGGGACTACAGGCATGCACCACAATGCCCAACTAATTTTTGTATTTTTAGTAGAGACGGGGTTTTGCCATGTTGCCCAGGCTGGCCTTGAACTCCTGGCCTCAAACAATCCACTTGCCTCGGCCTCCCAAAGTGTTATGATTACAGGCGTGAGCCACCGTGCCTGGCCTAAACATTTATCTTTTCTTTGTGTTGGGAACTTTGAAATTATACAATGAATTATTGTTAACTGTCATCTCCCTGCTGTGCTATGGAACACTGGGACTTCTTCCCTCTATCTAACTGTATATTTGTACCAGTTAACCAACCGTACTTCATCCCCACTCCTCTCTATCCTTCCCAACCTCTGATCACCTCATTCTACTCTCTACCTCCATGAGATCCACTTTTTTAGCTCCCACATGTGAGTAAGAAAATGCAATATTTGTCTTTCTGTGCCTGGCTTATTTCACTTAACATAATGACTTCCTGTTCCATCCATGTTGCTGCAAATGACAGGATTTCGTTCTTAATTTCAATTAAAATAACCACACATGGCTAATGGCTACCATATTCGACAGCACAGTTCTACCCTTTTAACACATGGATAACTTACTACCTGGGATTACTTTACCATAGGATAAGTAATGGTGGATATTCTGAGGATGAATTACCATACACTTACACGTGCCGTTTAAATGTGAAGCAGCTGCAGTGGACTCTTGACAGACCTCAACTGAGCTCTCTGCTCTCCAGAGCATTGGCCTGGGGGTTCAATACATAAGTCAAGCTAGTTGGGAGACTAGATATTGTATAAAAAGACAAATAATTATGTAAGGAGGTAGATCAAGAGATAATGTGCATCTACTGTTCTCTTTCCAAATGCCTGACCTTCTGAAAACAAAGCCCTCTGCCAACTCCGTAAAGAGAGGTTCTGTGGTTAAAGCAGTTTAGGACGTACTGCCCCTTCTGTCTGCCATTATCTCACTTAGAAATGCTCAATGCACACTCCTTTGTTAAAGGCTCTGAAGAATCATGCAATGAGGTAACACCTGTAAGCTAGTGTCTCCGTCCTTATTGACCACAGAACCCTTTCTGCATGGATCACTCATCCAGGGCTGGAAATAGGGTGAGGCAGGTGAGTGACGCCCTACACTGCACATGAGCAACCCTGAGGGCATTACTTCCTTAAATTGTGCACTCAGGGCCTCACCCGCCTCACTCTAGTCCCAACCCTGCCTGCCAATGAGGAGAAACCCTGTCCCGTAAAAGGGTCGTATATGCAAAACAGCCCCTAAATGCCCAAAGAGCCTAGAATCCAAAGGAGGAAGGAGACAAATGCAGTTTGTCGGCTTTGGGTGATTTATTAGGGGTAACTTACAGTCAGATGCATGGTCACAAGCAGCCGTGAGACAGGTAGATCTCCACACCTCAATCCCCCAGGCCCAGGGCTTCTATCTTGGGGAAAGTATGCGTGCTCTGGAAGGAATGTATAGGTGGCTCTGAACATCACAGCCTGTGATTTCTGCAGCAGCATCAAGGGTTGTTTTGGAGGAAACTTTATGTAGGAATAAGAGTTCCTACATAAAGAGTAATACATCTGCTAGTCATGTGGGAGGCACTCTCAGACTCAGGGTTAGTTAGAAGTTACAAGGCAGATTAGCATGTAAAATAAAGTCACTCATGTCCCGCACAAACACACTTTGAGAAATGCTGATCCGGTCTTTCTCAGTTCATAAAGGACTTTACTAGATAAAGGCCTGTGATGGTTGGAGCCCAGGGATGTTAGCAGGAGTGTTCCAGCAGGGTGTGATCTGGAAAACAGTGTTCACACAGAAGGAGGGGATCAGTCTAGAACAGAAGGAATGTGCTGAAGTGCAGATGGCCTAAGATTTAGCCAGGCTGAAAGGAGAACCGAATGGAAGAAGCCTCTGTTGGCTTCTTCCTAAGCAAGGTTTGGAGGGCTGGGCCCTGGGTGCAAATGCCAGCCCCCTTTTTCTCAGCTTCCCATCTGTCACTGGGTAGGAGGTCAGCAGGGACAATTATACTATGATAAGAACCATCTCCTACAGTTGTATGGAAAACTGAACTTATAAGAAAGGAACTTGGCTAGCCAGGCATGGTGGTACGTGCCTGTAGTCCCAGCTACTTGGGAGGCTGAGGTGGGAGGATTGCTTGATCCCAGGAGGTGGAAGTTGCAATAAGCCATGATTGCACCACTGCACTCCAGCCTGGGCAACATAGCAAGGCTCTGCTTCAAAAAAGAAAAAAAGAAAAGAGAAGAGAAGAAAAAAACAGAACTTGGGTATTTAGCTGAAGAGATTCCCAAGCAAAGTATTGAAGGTACAGCCTGGTTTCTTCATGCTGCTTATAGAAAATGTGCAAGGAAAGAGGTATGTTGAGTAAGTAACTGATAAACAAGAAAGTACCAGGATTTGATGATTCTGGAAATTCTCAGCCTTATCTAGATTGCAAAATATGCTAAAACTAGATTCACTGTCATGAGAATGTGCTGTAAAAAGAAAGCCAAGAGTGAGTCTGGATAACCTTTTGCTAGTGTTTCTGAAAGATCAAAAGGTCTGAATATCATTCACACAGAAAACTCTGACTAATCGTGTGACTAATGCATCGCCTCAACCATCACATCAGAAGTCAGGAATAGAAATAGGATTATCCAGAAAAGATCATGTGGGACTCTCTTCTTTAACAGAGTACATTCTCATGACATACATGAAAAACTCACACAGTTTTTGACAATATTATATCAGCGGAAACATTACCAACTTGGACTGAAAGAAACAGAAAGAAGACAAAATAAAGGCAGATCATTGGCCTCCCAGAATTCTGTGGCGGGAAACAGACTGATAAAATTTACTCAGCTGAGACATGTGCTATCCTTCAAGAAGAAGGAAGGGTGGAAGTGTTCTTCCAAGGGCAGAACTGTGAACCCACAAGGGCAAAGCTATGGGCACAGTAGGGCAGAGTCTGCAGCCCAGAGGATTATTCTCAGGACTTTAAAACTTAATGGAGCTTGGCTGATTGGATTTCAAAATTGCTTGGAACTGGTGATTCCTTTCTTCCTTCCATTTTCTCCCTTTTGGTAATGGAGTGTTTACAACTTTTATCCTATGCCTGTCCCACCATTTTATTTTTGAGAGTAAATAACTCATTTTCTAGTTCCTAGAATCTTGAGATGGGGATATCATCATGGATTAGCCAGGTGGGCCCTAAGTCACAAGTGTTCTTATAAGAAGGAGGGAGGCCGGGTGCAGTGGCTCACGCCTGTAATCCCACAACTTTGGGAGGCTGAGGCGGGCAGATCACGAGATCAGGAGTTCAAGACCAGCCTGGCCAACATGGTGAAACCCCGTTTCTACTAAAGATACAAAAAATTAGCCAGGTGTGGTGGTGCGTGCCTGTAATCCCAGCTACTCGGGAGGCTGAGGCAGGAGAATCGCTTGAACCCGGGAGGTGGAGGTTGCAGTGAGCCAAGATCATGCCACTACACTCCAGACTGGGCAACAGGGTGAGACTCCATCTCAACAACAACAAAAAAAAAAAAAAAGGAAGGAGAGGGAGGGAGATTTGACTACAGAAAAATAGAAGGTGATGTGACCATAGAAGCAGGCAGAGATTTAAAGATTCTGTGCTGTTGGTTTTGAACATGGAGAAACCCCATCTCTACTAAAAATACAAAAACTAGCCAGGCGTGGTGGCAAGTGCCTATAATTCCAGCTACTCGCAAGGCTGAGGCAGGAGAATCACTTGAACCCGGGAGGCAGAGGTTGCAGTGAGCCGAAATCATGCCACTGCACTCCAGACTGGGCAACGAGCAAGACTCTGTCTCAAAAAATAAAAAATAAAACCCCTAATGGAGCTTGGCTGATTGGATTTCAAAATTGCTTGAGGTTGGTGATTCTTTCTTCCTTCCATTTTCTCCTTTTTGGTATTGGAAAGTTTATAACTGTTATCCTATGCCTGCCCCAGGTTAGTTTCAACCCAGTGAATCCCTTTCAGACTTCTGGCCTCCAGAACTGTAAGATATTAAATTTGTATTGTTTTAAGCCACCAGCGTGACAAACAGCAGGCACTAGAATCTGATACACCATCTAATTCAACGACAAAATAATCTACATTCAACTGTCACATAAAAGCCTAACACGTAAACTTAACTTTTCTCATTTGTACATGGCGGGTATGCACTGGAAATAAAAATAATAATAATAATAAATGAAACATTGTCATACAGTGATGTGCCTGGCACTTGAAATGCCATCATGCTATAACTGCGTCATTGCAATTTGTGGTGTGCTGGGCAACAGTTGTAAGCAATGAGATGGCCACAAATGGTCTCTGACACAACTGCTCTTCCCTGTCATTATAGCACAAAAAATGAGTGAGCATGGCTGTGTTCCAATAATACTTTATTTACAGACACTAAAATTTTAATTTTATACTTCAATTTTTACATGTCACAAAATAGTATTCCTGTTTTGACTTGCTTTCAACTACTTAAAAATGTAAAAATGATTCTTAGCTCACAGACCATATGAAAACAGGTGACAGACTAGGCGCAGTGGCTCACACCTGTAATCCCAGTACTTTGGGAGGCCAAAGCAGGTGGATCACCTGAGGTCAGGAGTTCAAGACCAGCCTGGCCAACATGGCGAAACCCCGTCTCTACTAAAAATACAAAAATTAGCCGGGCGTAGTGGTGCCTGCCTGTAATCCACCAGGCATTGTGTGTAAACTCTGGAGGCTGAGACAGGAGAATTGCTTGAAACCCAGAGGCAGAGGTTGCAGTGAGCTGAGATTGCACCACTGCACTCCAGCCTGGACGACAGAGAGAGACTCTGTCTCAAAAAAAAAAGAAAGAAAGAAAAGAAAAGAAAGAAAAAGAAAACAGGTAACAAGCTGAATTTGTCCATGAGCCATTGTCGGTGAACTCCTCATCTATACTTTACACAGAAAATGTTTAGCTGCAAAATTTTGAAGGGCGCTTATAACTTAACAGCACTACACTCAATGTTTTATATCAATTCTCATCTATATCCTCTAAACAATCTTCTGAGATAAATACAATTATTATACTTAAAATACCATATTATACTATAGTATTATTATACTACATTATACAGATGGGGAAACTGGGGCAGAGAAATTTTCAATACCTTGCCCAAAGGTATTGAACTTCTGCAGATATTGAACATCCAATAGAACTTACTGTAATGATGAAAACATTCCATATCTGCATTTCTAACACAGCAGCTACTAATCATATGACTATTAAGCACTTGAAATGTGTAACTAAGAAACTGAATTTCAAATTTGACTTCATCTTAATTTTTATTTTTAATAGCCACATCAGACAGCACAGCTTTCGTGGGGAGAACCAGGGCATGATATGAATACAAGCAGAAAGAGAATAATTGTCAGGCCGGGCACAGTGGTTCACGCCTGTAATCCCAGCACTTTGGGAGGCTGAGGTGGGCGGATCATTTGAGGTCAGAAGTTTGAGAGCAGCCTGGCCAACATGGTGAAACACCATCTCTACTAAAAATACAAAAAATTAGGCAGGCGTGGTGGCGCTCACCTGTAATCCCAGTTACTTGAAAGGCTGAGGCAGGAGAATTGCTTGAATCCGGGGGTGGAGGTTGCAGTGAGCTGAAATTGTGCCACTGCACTCAAGCCTGGGTGTCAGAGTGAGACTCCATCAAAAAAAAAAAAAAGACAGAGAGAGAGAGAATAATTGTCCACGTGTCTCACCAGTGATAAATGGGGGATCAAGGATTTAAACCAGGAATTTCAAACCCCGTATTCCACCTCTTGGCACCAAAATTATCAACCAAGAGCCAGCAGCATCCAGGAGTCTCTGGGCCAGCATTTGTAGAAGTAAATCTGCATAATGGTTCTTAGGTATTTGAAGAAAATAAAAATTACAGTTGTGAACTGTCCAGGAGCCTGTCCTAGGTGATCCAATATCTCCTAGACTTAAAATCTGAAGGTTAATTCTAGGTATTTCTGAGAGACACTCAGGTTGTCCAGCACATCAGCTTCTGCAGAACTGTTTCCCAGGCCCAAAGGAAGCTCCATGTTGGCCTGGTAGCTACAAACACAGACAATTTCTCCAGTTAGAATACATGAGGAAAACCATTTTTTTCTGGCTGAGGAAGGTGTCAGACACAAAAGACCAGTGAAGGCTAAGAGGTTGTAAGTTACTTAGGATAGAAAGCCGGTGAGCCGTGTGCCGACCCAGCTGTCACCCTAGCCAGAATGGCAGCCCCTCAGGGGGAATTTTTTACTTGCAGTTCATTTGGAGCAGAGCTCTGGTTCTTCCAGGAAAGCAGTGGCAGGCAGCAGCCCTGGACCTGGGTAGGGGGGCCATGGACACAGCTGTGAATGCCACAGGCACATGGCAGCATGTTATATTGTGTCCTCTCCTTTTTCCAGTGGGAAAAACAGAATGTACGATGTCCTCCAAGAGACCATTGAAAACGATTTCCCAACCTTCCTGGGCAAGATCTTTGCTTTCCTCGCCAATCCAGGCCTGATCATCCCAGCCATCCTGCTGATGTTGTAAGTTAGCCAGGACCCATGGCTCCACCCCACGGAAACTTCTCCTTGAATTTGAGACTTCCTTGGCAGGTCCTTTTCATCTTGCCTTCTTAGTCTGCACTCCCCAGAAGCAGAATCCATGACAAGGATTCAAGTGTAAGTATTTTATTAGGGAGGGGGTGAGGACTTGAGACAAGGAAGGGAAAGGAAAATGCATGGTTATCACTGTGAGAATTCTGGGAGGCAGTGTGCCTCAGACTCAGCCCTCCCTAAGGGCAAAGGATCCGAGGCATTTATAGACCAGCTCCCAGCGTCATTCATGGGTAAAATGGCTTCAAGGGGTGTGAGTGAGGGGTCCAAGAGGGAAGGGAAGCTTCTGGTAACAGAGATGAGGGCACCAGCAAGTGCAAGTCTTTTGGAGCACACTGAAAATTTGGGTGAGCCCTGACAGTATCTGCAACAACTCCCACTAAAATGCTCACTAGAAATATCAAAGTCCTGTGGGCTCTGAGCCTATCAGGAAGCTGAACGGTGATTCGGCCTGATCCTGGCTGGGCCCACAGCACTACTCGATGGAGCAGCTTATACACTGGAACAAGCTGGTTCCTTCATCACTGTCCCCCTCAACAACCATTAGAGAACAAGTTCGAAAATCTCTGTATCCCCGGTGCCAGCCTAATGCCTAGAGCATAGCAGGCAAACAGTAAATGCTCAAGGAAAGAACTAGGGAAGAAAGGCAGGAAGCCAGAGTCTTGGATTGGAATTGTTGCCATCAAAAAATGTGCTAGTAAAAATGTTAGCATTTTTTCTTTATTTAAAAAAATCTTATTTTGGCATGCTTTTTTAAAAATTATGAAATATTCCCAGCATACAAATGAGTACAGACAACCATGTACACGATCACAAGATTCAACAGATGTTAACATTTTGCAATATTTACTTCAGGTTTATCTTTCTTCGTAATAGAAATAAAACATTACAGATGCACTTCAAGCCCCACTCAATCCTTCTTTCTTCCTCCCTCCCCAAAGGTAACTATTATACAGACTAGATTTAATTATTTCCATGCATATTTTGTACTTTTTAATCACATGTGTGTATAGTACTGTTTCCGGAGTTTTAAACCTTTTCATGAATGACTCACATTACATGCTTTTCCTCAAACAACATTATGTTGGGGGATTTATCCATGCGGATACATGAGCACATGTTTGAAGGCTCTACTATGTTCCATCTCATGAATAAGCCACAGTTTATCCATTCCTCTGCATAGGGATAGTTAGGCTGTTTCCACTTTTCGGCTATTGCAAACTGCGCTCCAGCCAACATTTTGTATATATCTCCTTGCACAATTCTGAGAGTTGCTCTAAGGTAGACATCTAGAAGCAGAATTGTGGGTCATCAGCATGTGTTTCTTCAATCTTTTTAGATCTTACAGAATTGCTCTCCAAAGTGGTTGTATTCCCTTTGGACTGTTATTTATAAATTCCAACTCTCCGGTGAAATTCTCCAGCTTTCTATTTTCTTGAACATAGTGGTTATAATTACTTTTAAAATCCCAGTCTGATATTCCAATATCTGAACCACCTGGGTGTATTTTTGTTGTCATTTGTTTTCCTCTTGTTTATCCTCAGCCCTACTTTTATCATGGCATGTAATTTTTACTAGATGTCAGACATGTGGATGAAAAATTATAGAGGCTGTGAATAATGTTATCTTTCCCCAAAGGGATGGGTTTTTTTTCCTGAAGGGCAAATGGAATACTAGGAGATCACTTAATCCTGTCAAGACTTGATGTTTTAGCTATCTATTATTACATAAGAAACAACCCCCAAAACTGAAAAATAATATTTTATTAATGAATCTGCAATTTGGGTAGGACTTAGCAGGAATCATTCTTTTCCTCTCTACTCAACATCATCTGGGTCAGCTCAGCTGGAGGCTGGAGGGCCCACTTTCAAGATGGTCACTCACATGACTGGCCAGCTGGCACTGGAGGCCTCACTTCCTTCTCACAAGCTGCTTGGGCTTCCTCATAGTATGGTGGCTGAGTTTCAGGAGCAAGCATCCCAAGAGAATGCAGTGGATATACATGGCATCTTTACTTACTCCTGCCATACTCTATTGAAGCAATCACAAAGGGATACCCAGGTTCAAGAGAAAGAAATATAGACTTATCTTTTGATGAGGCAATGACAAGATTCTAGAAGCACATGTAAGACAGGAGTCATAGTATTGTGGCCATCTTTGGAAAATAGTTTGCTATTGCTAGCTTTGGGCTTTCTCAGGGCTGATTTATTTCAGTTTTGCCCTATTTCCAAGACACTGACCTTACTCCTACAATGTGATCCTTACTATTGAGCACAGTCTTTTAGGGGTCTCAACTGAAAGCCTACAGTGTTTACCAATTCCCTCCTGTGACAGTTACTACGGGACTGAACGAAGTAGGACGAACACAGAAATGAAGACAAAGAAAAAAAGGATTTGTTTTAAAGAACGGGTCAGGGGACTCCTTGCTTCTAGTGAGCAAAGGCAGCCCTGAGCTTCTGCAGCCCTGAGCTTCTACAGCCCTTCGTATTTATTGGGTAGAAAGAGCAGGGAGGAGGAGGTAACGATTGGTCAGCTGTTTGATTGATCACGGGTTCACATCATTGCTAACAGGCCTCAGATGTGCCTAACCACAAGAAACACTGTGCCTGGGGCGTGACTGCCCTCAGCATTCCTTCTGGGTGCCGACATAGTTGTCAGCTTGCCAACATCCTGCATTCATGAGAACAGCTTGCTGTTTACTCATATAGCCTCCAGTCGTATACTGAGTTGATCACGACCCTCATTCTTTTGGCCTCCACCACCCTCCACCTTGGCAGGGCTTAAAACCCATTCTCTCTTTTCCCAATTCTTCCGTCTTTGCTTATTCTTTTTCTCCAGTAGTACTGCTACAGCCACTGTGAAATCTCTGCTCTGCTCTTCAGCCTCTCTGGTGTCATTTTCTTCTGGGCTTCCTGAAGCAATTGAAGAATTGGTCAATCATTTGAGGGCAATTTGTACACAGAGTTTGGCTTATTTATCTGCAATTTGTTCTTCTCTGGGATTCTGCCCCTCAAGTCCCAAAGACTGTGGCAGTAATTAACTCTGACCTGCATCTTCTCCACATTGTAAGATTTCCACTTTCTGCTTGGACTCTGCTTCTGGGTCACAAATTGGAAAATACTCTCAGGGAGAAACCCTGGAGGAATGTGGAGCTCACCTCACATGCTTCCCTTCTCTCAAGCATCAAGTCCCTTTAGTCTGCCTGTCACTCTCCCATGTCTTAAACTACAGTTTTGTAAATTTTGCTCAGCATTTACAGTTGTTTTTCTCTGGAGAGCTGGACCAATACAAGTCCCTTAGTCAAGACCAGAAAAAGAAGTCTTTTCTTTCTTCATTTGATTTTCCACAGAGGCAGGCTCCCTAGCACCAAAACAACAACAAAAATAATCTGTGATCATTTTTATTAGAATTCAGAAAGAAGGCCGAGCATGGTGGCTCACACCTGTAATCCCAATACTTTGGGAGGCCGAGGTGGGCAGATCACCTGAGGTCAGGAGTTTGAGACCAGCCTGGCCGGCATGGTGAAACCCCATGTCTACTAAAAATACAAAAATAAGCCAGCTGTGGTGGTGTGTGCCTGTAATCCCAGCTACTTGAGAGACTGAGGTAGGAGAATTGCTTGAACCCAGGAGGCAGAGGTTGCAGTGAGCCAAGATCATGCCACTGCACTCCAGCCTGGGCAAAAGAGCGAGACTCTGTCTCAAAAAAAAAAAAAAAATCCAGAAAGAATTGGCACACCTATGTTGTTAAGTTTTCCAATCCAAGAATACTGTATTCCTTATCATTTTTTCATTTATGTCTCTCAATATTTTTAAGTTTTCTTCATAAATTTCATGCACATTTCTTATTAAATGTATTCCTCTGCATTTCTCTTTTTGTTATGATAAATTAGGATAGCTCTTTCATCATACTTTCTAACTAGTTTTTGTTTTTCTATGTAAATGTTATTTATTTTCTATATATAAATTTTGTATTCAGTCACTGATATAGTTAGGCTTTGTGCCCCCATCCACATTTCATCTTGAATTGTAATCCCCATAATCCCCACATTTCAAGGGCGGGGCCAAGTGGAGGTAATTGGTTCATGGAGGCAGTTCCCCCCGTGCCGTTCTTGTGATAGTGAGTGAGTTCTCACAAGATCTGATGGTTTTATAAGGGGCTCTTCCCACTTTGCTCGGCACTTCTCCTTCCCGCCACTTTGTGAAGAAGGTGCCTTGCTTCCCCTTCACCTTCCACCTGTAAGTTTCCTGAGGCCTCACCAGCCATGCTGAACAGTGAGTCAATTAAATCTCTTTCCTTTATAAATTACTCAGTCTTGGGTAGTTCTTTATAGCAGTATGAAAACAGGCTAATAAGGCCGGGCACAGTGGCTCATGCCTGTAATCCCAGCACTTTGGGAGGCCGAGGCGGGCAGATCACGAGGTCAGGAGATCGAGACCATCCTGGCTAACACGGTGAAACCCCGTCTCTACTAAAAACACAAAAAATTAGCCGGGCGTGGTGGCGGGCGCCTGTGGTCCCAGCTACTCGGGAGGCTGAGGCAGGAGAATGGCGTGAACCCGGGAGGCGGAGCTTGCAGTGAGCCGAGATCGCGCCACTGTACTCCAGCCTGGGCGACAGAGTGAGACTCCATCTCAAAAAAAAGAAAACAGGCTAATACAGTCACCCTATGAGTGTATTGTTTATCATATTTACTCAACCAAAGTTCTTGAATCTTCCAGGTCATTTTCTCATTTGTAAACAATGAAAATGTTATATTTTATTTAATTCTTAGATCTCTTTTTTTCTCTGTAGGATTAATTAGTACCTTCCATGGGAAAAACAAGTTAATTAATATTTGGTGATGAAATATATTTTTGTATTTTTCCTGCATTTACAGGGTGGGGAGTGCTTTTAATGTTTTCAGTTAAGCACAGTACTGCTTTTTTGGAGAGTTGAGATAAGTATATTCATGAAATAAGGAAGAAAACAACCAGGGAATGTAAGTCATTGTAACATAGGTATAAGAAATCAATAATTAGGAAAGTGGAGTAACTTTTCTAATTATTGATTTCTTACAGAAGTAAAAAAAAAAAAAAAAAAGTGACCTCAAAAGGTGGTGGTGAATTTAGGGCCATTACTAGCCCATATAGTACCTTGTGCAAATTTTTTAAAGGTGCCCACTCCTTCAGACGGAGGTAGGCCCATGCCAAGGGGCACATTTGACAAACAGAATATGGATAGATTTCAGCCAGCAGTCACCCCCTTAGTCAGGTGCCTTTTATGCAGTAAACAGCCTGTATAATGGCTATCTAAGCCAGAATCTTTTTCCTTTGGTGTAGACCAGGGGTCATCAAACTGTAGTCCACAAGCTAAATCCGGACCACACTTGATTTTGTTAAATAAAGTTTTATTGGAACATATTCATGCTCATTCATTTATTTATTATCTATGACTGTTTTTCACAGAAAAAGACAGAATTTACTTGTTGTGATAAGGAATGTATTGTCTAGAAAGACTAAAATATTTATTGCCTGGCCCTCTGCAGAAAAAGTTTGCTGATCCCTAATGCAGACAATAAGGAACCACTTTCAAATATGCTTTGACACTGAACTTAAAACACCTAATCAGTAAGACTTAAAAATAATGACAAATAATAAGTCCAAAAAATATTTAGAAGAAGAAGGAATTAGGATTGTAGAAGACAATAAATCTTGAACTTGAGCCTTGATAAATTCAAGGCTCAGGAAAAGGAGTCGATTGCATTGGATAGAACTTTTAGAGTTGTTCAAGTCTACTATTTTCTTGTTGACCTTCTAATTGTTTCTATTACTGAAAGTAAAGCATTGAATTTCCAGCTATTATTATTGGATTGTCCATTATCTCTCCCTTAAATTCTGTTTTTGCTTCGTATGTTTTAAGGCTGTGTTGTTAGGTGCATATATGTTTTTACTTATTACATTTTCTTGATGAAATGACCCTTTTACAATTACAAAATAATCCTATTTGTCTCTAACAATTTTTGTCTTAATGTGTTTCCCATCCTTTTACTTTCAATCTACTATTACCTTAAAAATCTGAAGTGTGCATTTTTTGGCTGGGTGTGGTGGCTCATGCTGGTAATACCAGCACTTTGGGAGGCTGAGGCAGGAAGATTGCTTGAGCCCAGGAGTTTGATATCAGCCTGGGCAACATGGCAAGACCCATCTCTACAAAAACTTTAAAAATTAACTGAGTGTGGTGGCACATGCCTGTAGTTCCAGCTACTTGGGAGGCGACAAAGGTGGAGGATTGCTTGAACTGAAAAGGTTGAGGCTGCAGTGAACCATGTTTGTACCACTGCATTCCACCCTGGGTGACAGACTGAGACCTTCTCTCTAAATAAATAAATGAAATAAAATATAGTGTGCTTCTTTGGAAAAGCATATAGCTGAAGCATAGTGTTTATCCATTCTGTCAATCTGTGCTTTTTATATGGAGTGTTTGATTCATTTACATTTAATTACCAATAAGTTAACATTTATGTCTGCTGTTTTCTATATGTCTTATGTATTTTTGTTATTTTATTCCTCTATTACTGCTTTCTTTTGGGTTAAATATTTTAGTACATAATTTTAGTTCCCACGTCATTTCTCTAACTATATTTTGTTTTAGTTATTTTCTCAGTGATTGCCCTGGAGATTATAATTAATATAACAAACTACTTTGAATTAATACCAACTTAATTATAATAGTATACAAAAACCTTGTCCCTGTACAACTCCATTCCCTCCACTCTCCTTCAGGTTGTTTCTGCCACACAAATTACATCTTTATACATTTTATGCCAACTGAATAAGACAGGAGAAAAAAGAGCTACAAAGACTACATTGATACTAGCTTTCATGTTAACCCATGTAGTTACCTTTACTAGTGCTCTTTATTTCTTCATGTAGATTCAAGTTACTGTCTAGTGTCCTTTCGTTTTAACCTAAAGAGCTCCCTCTAGCATTTCTTACAGAGTAGGTCTGCTAGTGATTACTTCTCTTGGTTTTTATCTGGGAATGACTTAATTTCTCCTTCATTCTTGAAGAACAGTTTTGCTGGATTTAGAATTTTTGGTTGATAGTCTTTCTCTTTCAATCTTTCAAATATGTCATCCCACTGCCATTTGGCCTCCATGGTTTATATGAAAAAACAATTGACTGTTAATCTTTCTGAGGCTTTCTTGTATATGATTATTTGTTTCTCTCTTTCTGGATTCTCTCTTTGACTATGGCTGTTTTTTTTTTCAATTTGCTATGATATGTCTAGGACTAGATCTCTTTGAGTTTATCCTGCATGGAATTTGTTGAGCTTCCTGTGTAAATTAATATTTTTTCATCATATTTGGGGATGAAATCTGATTAAAAATAGCCATTATTTATTCAAATATTCTTTCTGACCCTTTCTGTCTTTCCTCTCCTCCTCAGATTCCCATTAGGCATGTGTTGATACATTTGCTGTTGTCCCATAGGCTGTGTTATTTTACCTCATTCTTTTTTCTTTCTGTTCCTCAGACTGGATAATCTCAACTGATCTATTTTCAAGTTCATTGATTCTTTTTTTTTTTTTTCGAGATGGTGTCTCACTCTGTCACCCAGGCTAGAGTGCAGTGGCATGATCTCAGCTCACTGCAGCCTCCACCTCCCAGGTTCCAGCGATTCTCCTGCCTCAGCCTGTCGAGTAGCTGGGATTACCGGCATGTGCCACCACACCTAGCTAATTTGTGTATTTTTAGTAGAGATGGGTTTCACTATGTTGGCCAGGCTGGTTCTTTCTTCTGTCATCTCAGATATGTTGAGCACCTCCAGAAAATTTATTATTTCAGTTATTGTAGATTTCAACTCCAGAATTTCTATTTGGTTATTTTATTTATTTCTTTTTGCTAATATTCTTTATTTGGTGAGACATCATTTTGATACTTTCAGTTCTTTAGAAATGGTTTTGTATCGTTCTTTGATCATATTCTTTGATCATATTTAACATAACTGATTTAAAGTCTTTGTCTCTTAAATACAGCATCAAGGTTTCCTCAGGAATGGTTTCTATTGACTACTTTTCCCCCTGTGTATGGGCCAGGCTTTCTTTTTTCTTTGTATGTCTTACTAGATTTTTGGGGTTTTTTGTTTTTGTTTTTGTTTTTTTACAGAGTCTCACTCTGTTGCCCAGGCTGGAATGCAGTGGCGAGATCTTGGCTCACTGCAACCTCCACCTCCTGGGCTCAAGCAATTCTCCTGCCCCAGCCTCCCGAGTAGCTGGGATTACAGGCGCCCGCCACTATGCCCAGCTAATTTTTTGTATTTTTAGTAGAAATGGGGTTTCCCCATGTTGGCCAGGCTGGTCTCGAACTCCTGACTTTGTGATTCACCCGCCTCAGCCTCCCAAAGTGCTGGGATTACAGGCGTGAGCCACTGCACCCAGCCATGTCTTACTAGTTTTTGCTGAAAACTGGATATCTTAAATAGTATTATATGGCAGCCATGGAAATCAGGTTCGCCTCCCTTCCATGGGTTTGTTGTTGTTGCTGTTTGTTGTTATAATTGTTGTCGTTATTGTTGTTTAATAACTTTTCTGAACTAATTATGTAAAGTCTGTTTTCTTTGTTGTGTGTGGCCACTAAAGTCTGTGCTCAGTTAGCTTAGTAGACACCTACTGACTGGAAAGAGATTTTCTTACATGTCTGGAACCAGTAAGACTCCCAGTATTTCCCAACAGGCTCTGTGTATGTATTGGGGTATGCCTTCAACATTCAACCAGGCAGTTTACAACTCTACCTTAGCTGTCACTGACTGCTTGTTCAGAGACTCAAGGTTACCAGAGGTGAGAGCTCAGGGCCTTCTCAAGTCTTTCTTGGACACATAAACAGCCCTGGACAGGCACAGAGCCTTACACATCATGCACACAGTTCTCTATAGATTCCCAGGAATATTTCAAAGTGTTTTAAAGCCCCCATTGGACATCCCATTCCCCAGTTCTCCTTTTAAACTTTTTGGTTAGCCTATTGTTTGCCCCAACTGTTATGCAACACTTCTCACAGCCGTGATGTTCAACAATTGCCTCTGATTGCTTTTGCCAATCTCAGAGAAAAAGTTCACACTGATTGGGCTTTGAGCCAGGTCAAATAAAGATAGCCTTGTGAGTAGTATCAACCACTGGATAAATCAAATAATGACAGTTCTCTGGGTCTGAGGATTTTAAGGTGCTCCAAATCCATTCTACCTCCTCCAGTGACTGCCAGGCTACTGATTTTCACCAAAATTTGGTGCTGTTGGTTTCCAAACCTACTACAGAACTGGGTAGGGGAGGGGATATAAGGCAACTTAGATGCTGCAGAACTCACTGTTCTTGCTGGAATTTAGCTGTTTTCCTTGAAAAGGTACTCCCTAGATCTGCTGCAAACCTTTGGTTAATTTTGAGTTCTGAAAAAATTTGATTCTGACAATTTTGGCTGGCATTCTCACTGCTTTTAAGGAAGAGAGGATTTTCAGAAGTCTTTGCCAATTTTGCTGACATCTGGATTGAACTTTAGCCTTGGATGGGCTTAAAGACTTTGTTAAAACCTTCCCTCTTTGACTATCATCTTTGTTGTTCCTTAGATGTATCTGTTTGTCTCTGTCTGTTTATGCTTTGAAATTCCCAAAAAGTATTTCAAGAAATGGCTGCTCCTCATCAGGGCTCTCTTCAGCTACAGGATAGTCTGATGAAGCCGGCCTCCCCCAACGCTGTGGTCAGTTTCCTGCCCGCTGCTCAAAGGCTGCCAGCCTGGAGGGGAACTGGAGCTCCACACTCTGCAATGGCGCCTCTCCTTCAGCACCCTCTCTGGTAGCTTACTCAAAATGAACATAGACTCACAGAGATTCCAGGACCCTAAGGGGGCCAGAGTGAATGTAGAATCCTTTCATTTGTTCATCTATTCATGTAACACCCATTCTTGAAGATCTGCTCTGTGCCCTGAATACTGTCATTGCCAACAGCAAACACTTGTGTGTTGTTTTATATCCTTGATTTCAAATTTCCTCTGCTGCTGGCATGACAGGGATGACATGATAGTGACAATCTGGATTGCCTTGTGCCCTCCTGGGGAAATTCTGAAAGCCAGACACCAAACCTGACCCTGAAGGCACCAAGGAGAAATGCTAAATTTGGAAACAACCTTGGGAGGTACATAGCCACCCATGAGCATTTTATCCACCATTTGCTGGGTCTGTGATCTTGAGCCAGACAAGTTACCTCTCTGGCCTCTGACCTCTGATTCCTCCCTTAAAAAAATGGGCTAATTAGGTAAATGGCAAGGACTGGCCCAGAGTAATGCCTTACATAACAGAAATTGGTCTCTTCACCTGTCCTTTATTCTCTCCTCCCCTCACCTATAGTTCTCTGAATCTCTGAATCCTTGCTTCAGAAGGCTCACTTGACAGCCTCTGACCTACACTCTGCCCCAAAGACCATGGGGCTCCTCTTCTCTGACTGGAGAGGGCTCACAGGCTCTATTGAGGCAGTTATGGATGGCCTAGCCCTGAGGGGGAAGGTTCCAGAGACCAAAGCTGGAGCAGCTGAGCTTGAAAGTCATGGAGAAAAACTACTAATAAGGATGGACATAAAAAGCTAGCAGATAATAGGCTGGCAAAGCATCCACTCCAGGTGGCAGTCTGGCTTTTGTGTGTCCTGTGTAGTACAGTCCAGGTCATAACCCCAGACCTTAGGACCTGTGAAAAGAAAGCCTGGGCTGCAGCCTCAAAGGACACCCGATCACCTAGTGAGCCAATGGGGGCTGGACTCTAAAACCCATAAGGTCAGGGCCAGACATGCTAGGGCACTCTGAGCAGGAGGCTTCAGAGCATCTGCAATTGTGCTTCTTCGGCAAACTTAGGTCTCTTAACACCTCCACCTCCCCCTCTCAGGGTTTGAAAACTGTAGAAAAAGTGTTGGTTTCCAATGTGGGCTGCAAAGAGTACTCATGGGTGGGATGACCTTGGCAAATTATTTAACCTCACTGAGTCCCAGGACCCAGGCCTTTAAACATAGAAGTCTACTCTCTGCTTCATGGCATTTTCATCAAAGCCAATGAGATGGGGTGGGGTGGGGGTGGATTGTGCACATGGCACAGAGCTTGGCACAGGGCAGGTGCCCAGGAAACGTGACCAGCTTCTTCTGCAGTCAGTAAACCCTGCCACCCTCTGGCCACCTCAGATTTCCCAGAAGAGGGATGATTCCTCCAGCCAACCTTTACTGAGCACTCGCAGAGCTAGAGCTATGTAGTTATGCCCACGCATAATAAAATAGAGAGGATGCAGGGGCATCCAGGACCTTCTCCACATTGAGAAAAGAAGATGGTAGGACACCCACCCAAAGCCTCAGTAACTATTCCAGGAATCCTGCCCTGATTCCCCAAGAAAGGCGCCCAGCTCCTATCATCTGCCAAGATCACGGGACCATAGGAGGCATGCTTTTCTCTTGCAGCTTGGCCATTTACTACCTGAACTCAGTTTCCAAAAGCCTTTCCCGAGCTAATGCCCAGCTGAGGAAGAAAATCCAAGTGGTGAGTCTGTTGGGAGTTTCATCCTGGACGGTAAAAAGAGATCATGTTTTTGGTTTTTGCTAATTTGCTGTGTGAGCCCAGCTGTGTTATCTAAATGGCTTTCTTCTAAACCAAATCCCAAAATATCTGTATTATGGGAAGTAGCCTTGTGAGATTCAACAGCATGCATTTATATTATTGAGGCTATTTGGTGATTTGTGACAATAATGACTTAAATTTCAAGGGGTTACTAAAGAACAGGAGAAATTCAGTGAGTTCAGCCAATGCTCATACAGAAAAAGCCAGTATCCACAATAACTCCTACAGGTTAAAGTGAATATTTAAATACTAAAAGAAATGTTGTCAAAATCACGTATTTCTTGTGCCCTTTAGCCTAAAAGATCTCCTGAGTCCCCTTCACACATGGGAAGCCTCTCTCAACATCCCAGCTGACACCCTACTTCTGACTGCTGTCTACACACACACACACACACACACACACACACACACGCACACACCCTAAAATTCAGACCCTAACCCTCCCTAAGCCCTGTTCTTGCTTTCTCTGTCCCTCTTCTGGAGTGAATTTCATCTGTCTTGCTACTGGTCCCCCCGTCCACACCTTCTTCTGGTTTTTTGTTTGTTTGTTTGTTTGTTTTAAGATGGAGTCTCGCTCTGTCACCAGGCTGGAGTGCAGTGGCACGATCCCAGCTCACTGCAACCTCCACCTCCCAGGTTCAAGTGATTCTCCTGCCTCAGCCTCCCAAGTAGCTGGGACTACAGGCGTGCATGCACCACCACACCCAGCTAATTTTTGTATTTTTAGTACATGTGAGCCAGGATGGTCACCATATCTTGACCTCGTGATCCGCCTGCCTTGGTCTCCCAAAGTGCTGGGATTATAGGCGTGAGCCACCGTGCCCAGCCCCTTCTTCTGTTAATCTCACTGGGCTCCTGCCCAGGTACAGAAAACCACTGAAATAGAGGATTGGAAAGATCGCTGTCCTCTGGCCACATGTTCCTTCAATTGCTATGTGAATCTGAGAGCCTCAGGCTGCCCTCTCCAATCAGTTGTGAGGACCAGTAACAGGCAGTTTAAGATAGACACCAAGAACTGAAAACAGGCCGGGCATGGTGGCTCACGCCTGTAATCCCAGCACTTTGTGAGGCCGAGGCCGGTGGATCACCTCAAGTCAGGAGTTGAAGACCAGCTGGGCTAACATGGTGAACCCGTCTCTACTAAAAATACAAAAATTAGCCAGGTGTGGTGGCACACACCTGTAATCCCAGCTACTCGAGAGGCTGAGGGCAGGAGAATCGCTTGAACCCAGGAGGCAGAGATTGCAGTGAGCCGAGTTCACGCCGCTGCACTCCAGCCTGGGCAACAGAGTGAGACTCTGTCTCAAAAAAAAAAAAAATCACTCTCAACACCTCTGAGCCTCAAAGACCCATTTCCTGGGCCAGGACCAACAGTTCATTATTTCCTGCAGCTCCGTGAAGTTGAGAAGAGTCACAAATCTGTAAAAGGCAAAGCCACAGCCAGAGATTCAGAGGACACACCTAAAAGCAGCTCCAAAAATGCCACCCAGCTCCAACTCACCAAGGAAGGTAAGCTCTTTGTCATAATGATTATGTTTTACAAGGCCACATGGAAAGGTGTAAAGAGCCTATGAAACAGCGTGAAATCAGACTGTTCTGGGATTGAAATCAGAATCCTAACAATTATTAGCTTATGAAGTTGGGCAGGTGAATATAGGGGTCAATCATAGCACCTGCCTCATGGGATGGTGAAGATGAGATGTAATCATGCATGTAAAGTGCCTACCAGAATTCCTGGCACAGAGAATGAGCCAATGAATACCAGCTGGCAGTAGTGCCGTCATGCACCCCTTAATAACATTTGGATCAACCATGGATGGCATCTACAATGGTGGCCCCATAAGATTATAATGGAGCTGAATAATTCCTATTGCCAAGTGACGTAACTGTCAACATTGTAGCAAAACACATTACTCATGTGTTTGTTGTGAGCTGGTGTAAACAAGCCTACTGAGCTGCCAGTTATATAAAAGTCTAGGCCGGGCGTGGTGGCTCACGCCTGCAATCCCAGCACTTTGGGAGGCCGACGCGGGCGGATCACAAGGTCAGGAGATCGAGGCCATCCTGGCTGACACGGTGAAACCCTATCTCTACTAAAAATACAAAAAATTAGCCGGGCGTGGTGGCGGGCGCCTGTAGTCCCAGCTGCTTGGGAGGCTGAGGCAGGAGAATGGTGTGAACCCGGGAGGCGGAGCTTGCAGTGAGCCGAGCTTGCAATGAGCTGAGATTGTGCCACTGCACTCCAGCCTGGGCAACAGAGCAAGACTCCATCTCAAAAAAAAAAAATCTCTAGCACATACAATTATATATGGCACAGAATACTCAATAATGATAATAATTATGTTACTGGCTTATGTGTTTACTATACTATACTTTTTACTATTATTTTAGAGTAGATTCCTTCTACTTATATAAAAAATAGTTAACTGTAAAACAGCCTCAGGCAGGTCCTTCAGGAGCTATTCCAGAAGAAGGTGTTGTTATCACAGGAGATGACAGCTCCATGTGTGTTATTGCCCCTGAAGACCTTCCAGTGGGACAAGATGTGGAGGTGGAAGACAGTGATATTGATGATCCCAACCCTTTGTAGACCTAGGCTAATGTGTGTGTTGCATCTTAGTTTTTAACAAGAAACATTTTAAAAGTAAAAAGAAAAAAAATTCTTAAAAACAGAAAAAGCTTATCAAATAAGGATATAAAGAAAAAATATTTTTGTACAGGTGGTCAGTGTATTTGTGTTTTAAGCCAACTGTTATTATAAAAGAGATAAAGTAGAAAAGTTACAATAAGCTAAGGTTTATTATTGAAGAAAGAAAAAAAAAATTTTTTTTGAGACAGAGTCTCACTCTGTCACCCAGGCTGGAATGCAGTGGTGTGATCTCGGCTCACTGCAGCCTCCACCTCCAGGGTTCAAGTGATTCTCCTGCCTCAGCCTCCTGAGTAGCTGGGATTACAGGTGCCCACCACCATGCCTGGCTAATTTTTTGTACTTTTAGTAGAGACAGGGTTTCACCATGTTGGCCAGGCCGTTCTTGAACTCCTGACCTCGTGATCCGCCCGCCTCGGCCTCCCAAAGTGCTGGGATGACAGGCCTGAGCCACCGCGTCCGGCCTAGAAAAAATATTTGTAAATTGAGTGTAACCTAAGTGCGCAGTGTTTATAAAGTCTGCAGTAGTGACAGTGGTGTCCTAGGCTTTCACATTCACTCATCACCCACTCACTGACTCACCCAGAGCAACTTCCAGTCCTGCAAGCTCCACTCATGGTCAGTGCCCTAGACAGGTTTACCATTTGTCATCTTTCATATACTCTACCTTTTCTATGTTTAGATACACAAATATTTACCATTATGTTCCAACTGTTTATAAAGTATTCAGTACAGTAAGTGTTGTGCAGGTTTATAATCTAGGAGCAATAGGCTGAACCATATAGCCTATGTGTATAACAGGCCATGCCGTCTAGGTTTGGGTAAGTACATTCTATGATGGTCACACAACAACAAAATCACCTAATGATGCATTTCTCAGAATGTATCCGCATCCTTAAGCAACGTGTGCTATAGTTTATATTCTCTGAAAAGAGAAGCACTGGAATATCTAGAATAATAGAGTGAGAAAAGTCAACATAAAAAGTTCCCAGGAAAGTATCTTGGGGCTATTGCTCCTCGGCCTTTTGGCTAAGATCAAGTGAAAATATCCTGGGGCTTCAAAGGGGAGTGATCATAGACCACCTCAAATTAGGAGTGAGGAAAGGTCAAGTTGAAAGAGACCATCTCTGAGATGATCCCATTTTCCAGAGATCATCTCTGTTTTAAAATTAAACAGTGTCTGCACGCAGACACTTTAGCCTTGGATGTAAGAAGTGAATGAGATGCATAAGGAATGACTGACAGTTTAGGAATTTGAACTTTATTTTTTTGAGATGGAGTCACACTCTGTCGCCCAGGCTGGAGTGCAGTGGCACGATCTCTGATCACCGCAACCTCTGCCTCCCAGGTTCAAGTGATTCTCCTGCTCAGTCTTCTGAGTGGCTGTTATTACAGGCACCTGCCACCATGCCTGGCTAATTTTTGTATTTTTAGTAGAGATGGGATTTCACCACGTTGGCCAGGCTGGTCTCAAACTCCTGACCTCAAATGATCAGCCTCAAGTGATCCGCCTCAAACGGCCTCCCAAAGTGCTGGGATTACAGGCATGAGCCACTGCACCTGGCCTGAACTTTTTTTTTATACAAGCATTCCAATTTCTTAGTAACTGGAATTTTATTCATTTTTTATTATTAAGTATTCGCTATAATAAAATGATACTAGCTGCTGCAACAAAGAGGCCCAAAATGGCTAGTGGCTCAGACACCATAAAAGTTCATTTCTCACTCAACACAAAGTCCAAACTGGGTGCTTTCACCTGACAGCCTCAAGTGCTGATATGGGGACCCTGGCTCCTTCCATCTTGGGGCTCTGCCTGCATCAAGCTAGTGCAAGGGGAAGAGCTTAGGGGACACACCTGGATGTGGTCCCATCAAAGCCTGGAACTCCAGCACAGGCCACACTCATCCACAAGGGAACCAGAGCCCATTTCTGTGTCCCAGAACAAGAGGGACTGGGTTTAGTAAAGAGCAGTCATTTTCCCTAACTTGGAGTTAGAGGAGGGGAAGGAAACAAGTTAATGAAGGATTGGAAAGTAGATCTGATTCCAAACAATTCCCACAGCCCCTCCCCTTCCGTCATCACTTTTGACCCCGGCAGTCACCCTGCGAGGCTGCCGTTATTCTTGTCCCAATTTTGTACTCTAGAAAACCCGGGATCAGAGAGTCTAGCCTAAGGCCAGGTTCAAAATCAAGTTCTCTAGCCAGAAGACCATACTCCTCCAACAGATGTGTTTATGCAAAAGCCAGGCCAAGGTGACCCCGAGACAGCTGAGTGCAATCCGACAGCTCTCACATCACCAAATAGGACTAAAACCTACACACACCGCAGGGCGACTCCAGAGAGCTCCAATCCAACCTGTACAAAATCTCCCACTTCCTCTTTCTTGTCTTGGTTCGTTTTCCAGAGACCACTCCTCCCTCTGCCAGCCAAAGCCAGGCCATGGACAAGAAGGCGCAGGGCCCTGGGACCTCCAATTCTGCCAGCAGGACCACACTGCCTGCCTCTGGACACCTTCCTATATCTCGGCCCCCTGGAATCGGACCAGATTCTGGCCACGCCCCATCTCAGACTCATCCGTGGAGGTCAGCCTCTGGAAAGAGTGCTCAGAGACCTCCCCACTGATGGCTAGGACTCCAGGGAGCCTCGACCCTAGGGCTGATCCTCAAGTACCCCAGTTTCACACATACCAAACCAAGGTTCTCTCCCCTCTTTCCTCTCACATACATGCTCTGTCTCCTCTCTTGGAATGCATGAACTTTGATTCCTTCAGGCCCTTGTCAGCTACCGAAGGAGGAAGACAGTGGCTTCACCTGTCCTTTAGGGAAGCTGGAGCCATCTCTGCACTAACTGCCCTCCCAAATATCTTGGTTCAGACAGCTCTGAACCCCACGCTCACAGTGGTCGACCTTGCCTCCCGATTTTCGGAGTTGGGGAAGGGCCATGACCACCCTCGTAGACTTTTTCCATGGGATACAGTTTAGGACACGGGTTTCTGCCAGCTTCCCTAACCAGGAGGGGGATGGAGAAGGGCCTACATTTCTCAATCCAGAGGAAGTGAGCTGGTTTAAATGAAAGGTCCAGGCCAGGCACAGTGGCTCACACCTGTAGTCCCAGCACTTTGGGAGACCAAGGTGGGTGGATCGCTTGAGCCCAGGAGTTCAAGACCAGCCCGGGCAATGTGGCGAAACCCCATCCCTACAAAAAAATTAGCTAGGCATGGTGGTATGCACCTGTAATCCCAGCTACTTGGGAGGCTGAGGCAGAAGGATCACTTGAGCCCAGGAGGCAGAGGTTGCAGTTAGCTAAGATCACGTCACTGCACTCCAGTCTGGGCAACAGAGTGAGACGCTGTCTTAACAACAA